>NW_021160000.1:0-300000 GCF_000001405.40 Homo sapiens | reverse complement strand
ACATGCTACAGAATGTCCAGACAGCTCAGGTCTCTGGACTACATTAGGACAGAGAGTCAAAGAACTAATATACATCTTGGATAAGTCTCTAAATGCATGCTGTTGTCCTTCCCAAGAATGTGAATTGCTTCTGGTAAATTTCACTCTAAGTACTGCTTCAGTTATTTTACATATATATTGATTGGTAATCTTTTCATTTTAATTCAATTTTAAGCATGTTCTAATTTTTATTATAATTTCTTCTTGCTTCCATGAATCATTTGGAAGCTGTTTGTAGTTTCTAAAATTCATGGATTACTTTTGGATAAGATTTTGTTATTGATTTCTAATAGTGCTATGACACATTTGTTATACCAATGTAAACATTTGATACTACCTTTAGGCCTAATATCTGGTCAATTTTTGTAAATACTCCAAGTGTGCTTGAAAAGAATCGAAATTCTTTAACTGTTGATTAGCCTTACTAATTTTATGTTTATTTATTCAATTACTAAAAATGAAATGTTAAAATCTCTCACTGTGTAGATTTTTTTATTGCTATTTCCAATTCTAATTTTGGTTTTATTTATTTTGAGACTACATTATTAGGTATCCACAATTTTATAAAAATTAAGAAAAAATTAGAAAAGTTTAGAAAAAAATTAGAAAAATATAGAAAAAGATGTGAAAGAAGCACACATGGGCTTTATCTGGATGATCTCTTATCAGGTTTGTATCCTGGGGAAGGCCTTCACAGCAAGAGATGGACCAGAGGATTGAGACAAGGGGGCCACCATTCAGAAAGGGAGGAGGGCAAAGGAACTCCTGAGGGAGGAAAGGATCAGAGAGGAGGCTTTCATGTCTCAGTGATATCACTCAGCAGCATGGCATGGAGTCTGTAGTTCACAGAGTTCCAAAGAGCAGAAGCAGTTTGGAGTCTTTACAGCCTAGAGTTTATCTGTGGCAAGCAGATTTTGGATGTAGTTTCCCAGGGCATGTAAATCAGGCAGGCTCTAAATGCCTACAAATCTGCATGTCTGGGCTATGTTTAACACAATTGGATATTTAAAAATTTGAGTTTGGTGCCAGTTCGTTTTTGAGCTAATGGGTTTCAGCTTGCTGTGAAGAAATAACCTAGGTGCCAATACACAGAGACCATCCTTGTCTCATTTACATTATATGCAGTGACTCTATCCTTTTTTGCTCACAATTGTTTTATTCATTTCTTTTAGATTTGTTTACTTTACTGAGATTATTTGGTAGGTAAGATTTCAGTTTATTGTAGTTTGCTAATTCATTATTCAAAGTGTTCTAATAAAAATTTTGTTCCATCCTTAATCCCCATTTAAACAAAGCTGCTGTGGGTAAGGTCATCAATGGCCTTCGTGTCATCAAATCCATTTTGTAAACAAAATTTTAATGTTTAAAATTTTCTTATGTGTACACATGTTTAATTTATGTAATTTCAAAACGGGGTATCACACATGGAATTTGGTAGTTTTCTTTCCTTTTTTTATTCACTTACTCTGTTTCTTAATGCTTTACTGTAATCCACAACGCAATGTCCCCAATATTTATTATGTATAACTGATAATCACATAAAACATATTTTGTCATTAAGTGTTATCTTTTTCCACATAGGTGTTCCTGTCTTTAGTCTTCTATTTTCTCTCTCTCCCGCTTCTCTCCCACCCTTCCTCTCTCCATTTATGTAAGTATTTAAATCATTTTAAAAATCATTTTATGTATCACTTCAAAGCCTTCAGTGTAAATTGAGGGTCCAATTTTGTTTTCTTTGAATTGTTTATTTTCATATATTAATTTTTCATCTACTTGTAGATTCTCAATTTTTTACCACTCTTGCTTATTCTTAATTAATACAATTGTTTTTCTTAATTGATCAATTCCAATAGTTCTATAGTAGGTGCTGATATCTGGTGAGAAAAGTTCCTCTCAATAGTCTTTTTTTTTTTGGTACAATTTTCTGACTATTCTTCTACATGAACTTTAAGATAATTTAATCAAATTTTAAAATGTTTTTGTGATTCTAATGTGAATTTAATTGAATTTATATATAATTTTAGGAGATTTATGCTTTTACAAGAGTTTTGTTTGTTTTTTTGAGACAGGGTCTCACTGTGTCACCCAGGCAGGAGTGCAGTTGTGGGATCTCAGCTCACTGAAGCCCCAACCTCCCACCTCAGCCTCCCAAGTACCTGGTTCTATAAGCATGCGCCAAGCCCAACTAGTTTTTTGTTTTGTTTTGTTTTGTTTAGAGACAGGGTTTCACAATTTGCCAAAGCTGGTCTTGAACTTCTGGGCTCAAGCTGTCCTCCTGCCTCAGCCTCCCAAAGTGCTGGGATTACAGGTATGAGCCACTGCACCTAGCCTCATGTGTTTCTTATTCAACAGCTTTTGGTAACATTTTTATAGTTTTTTTCTTATAGATCGTCTTTCTTGGTAAATTTATTTTACCTTTATTATTTTTGTTATTGTGAATATTTTTACCATTAGCATTTCAAGGTGCTTATTGCTAATCTATTTTGTATTATGATCTTATTTCCAAATACCTTACCAATATTCCTCTTTAAAATATTTGAAAGTTCTGTTTTTCCTAATCTCTATGATTTCCTAGGCATATAATCATATCCACAAAAAGTTTTCTGTATATTTATACTGATTATTTCATTTAAAAATCTTGTTACATTCATGGATCCTCCAAGATAATCTTTAATAACAAATACTGACAGCAGCTATTCCTACTGGTTCCTTGTTTTAATTGAAATGTTCCTTTATGATTTAAAATACTTGTTTTGTAGGCATTTCATAAATAACGGTTATGTTTAGACACTTTCCTTCAATTTCTATTTTACTCGAGAATCTTCATTAGCAGTGGATGTTTAATCTTAACAATAGCCCTCTCAGCATCTACTGATATAATCACATTTTCCTCTTCTTTGATGTCAATTATGTAATTGTGTTAATATACTTAACTGATATTGAAATACCCGTGAATTCCTGAAATACAATGCTCTTTGCATACTGTATTACTCTTTTTTGTTGTTGCAATTATTGATAAAAGTGCTGGGTTTTTATTTAGAATATTCATTCATATGTATAAGTCAGATTGGTCTATAGTTTTGGCTTTTTTGTTTGTTTTTTGTTTTGAGATGGAGACTTGCTCTGTCACCCAGGCTGGAGTGCAGTGGCGTGATCTTGGCTCACTGCAACCTCTGCCTCCTGGGTTCAAGCTGGGATTACAGACATGCACCACCATGCCGGGCTAATTTTTGTATTTTTAGTAGAGACTGGTTTTCACCATATTGTCCAGGCTGGTCTTGAACTCCTGACCTTAAGTGATCCACCTGCCTTGGCTTCCCAAAGTGCTGGGATTACAGGTGTAAGCCATGGCACCTGGCCTATAGTTTTGTCTTATGTTTATCAGGTTTTCATATTAATGCTGCACTGCCTATGTGAAATGAATTGGTTTCTCTTTTTTAAAAATATTTGGGATACTTTAAATAACATTGGAATTATCCTTCTTGCAACCCTAGTACTTTTTTAAATTATGGATTTAAAAAATCACTGTACATTCTTTCTTTGTAACTGGTCTATTAACATTTTAAATTTCTTCTTGGATTAGTTTTGGTCATTTATATTTTTCCAGAAAATTACCCATTTTCTCTAGATTTTCCAATGTGTGGCCATATAGTTGCATGCAGCATTTCAAAGTGAATGTTTCTTTTTCATTTTATTTTATTTTTTTTTTTGAGATGGAGTCTTGCTCTGTGGCCCAGGCTGGAATGCAATGGCATGACCTTGGCACACTGCAACCTCTGCCTCCTGGATTCAAGTGATTCTTCCACCTCAGCCTCCCGAGTAGCTGGGATTACAGACATCCGCCATCATGCCCAGTTAATTTTTGTATTTTGGTAGAGACGAGTTTTCACAATGTTGACCAGGCTGGTCTTGAACTCCTGACCTTAAGCAATCTGTCCACTTTGGCCTCTCAAAGTGCTGGAATTAGTTACAGGTGTGAGCCACCGCACCTGGCCCTCAAAGAGAATCTTTCTACCTTCATCTTATTTTACTTCTTGGTAGCATTCTACAAAGTTGAAGATTGTACTTGTGAGTTTTGAGTTTCTTTATTTGATGAATGGATGTGATTAATTTATATCTTTAGTGTGATCATGCAGAGAAATGTATGAGGGATAGTGATGGAAAATTACAGGAAATCTGAAAATTTAATAAATTGTTGGCATTTTTATTTTCTCACTAGTACAAGGTTCATCTCAGTAATTATGAAATGTACTACCCTTTTCTCCTTTTCTATGTTATTTTGGAAAATTACAGCCTTATAATAGAGATCAGAAATGTGTTAACATTATGGCTGATCTATCTGACAACAGTGTTCTAAGAAAACAGTATCACAAATATACTTCCTCACCATAATTTTTCAAAACAGAAATTTTGTAAGCAAAGAATCAAGCGTTTAAACCAAAGGAAAGTTAGAGTGATGTCATCTCTGGTTGAAAAACACAGTCTTTCTGAATAGATTTTCAATGTCCTTGAAGACCATAACTAATATAAAATTACACAATACATTTGCTAATAATGTGAACTGTACACTTTTTATATGAAAATGATGCTTGCTACAACATGACTTTACTAAATTGGATTTCTGCAAAAGATAAAACACCAGGCATGGTTGCTCACACCTGCAATCCCAGCACTTTGGGAGTGCTGAGGCAGGGAGGATCACTTGAGTCCAGGACTTCGAGAGCAGCCTGGGTAACATAGTGAGACTCTGTCTCTTAGAAAAGTAAAAAATTAGCCAGGCATGATGAAGCATGACTGTAGTCTCAGCTACTTGGGAGGCTGAGGTGGGAGGATCGCTTGAGCACAAGAGGCTGAGGCTGCGGTGAGGTACGATCAAGCCCCCGCACTCCAGCCTGGGTGACAGGGCCAGACTTTGTCTCAAAATATATGAAAGTAGATAAAATTAGTTTACTTGCTGAACATAATCAAATATAGCAACTTTCCAGTAAAAGACTATTAGGACAAACTATGTTAACACAACCTCAGATGATGCAGCATAGTTAAAACAAAACAAAACAGCTTTGGGCATGTTCTATACTCCAACCTCTGTGGTGCAAAGGGACTATATGGCCAACTAGGTGTTGAGGCAGTCACAGAACTGCTGCACATGTGGTTTTTAAACAAGATTTTTAATTCCCCCTAAAGTGGAAGAAGTCATCTAACAAAATTTATTATGACTTAAATTGCTACTTCTTTATTTAGTTTTCCTCAAACTTTAACAAAATAAATTATGTAGTAAGTTATAGTCATTAAGCTTGAAAAATGTTTCAATTGAATGGGAAAACTTCCTGTGATAAAGCCTCGAATCATCAAGGAATAAGTCAATATATTTTACGCATAAATTTTCCAACATGTTAAGCACTAAGCTTTTAACTAAATAGCTAAGGGGAAATTGTTGCCATTGAATGCAACACATATCCTGCCTTTTTAAATAACACATACTACTTATCTTGATTTCAATTCATCCCTAAACATCACTTGTATAATTTGATCGCAGTGATGTCCTCAGAGACAGTTGTATGCGGAATCCTATAAATTGTCTCAAGGTGCTATGCTTTTAATGTTCACCTTAAATTTATTTTTGTTCCCCTGCCTTGCTGTCAGTTGTCACATTTTATAGTTCACCCCTTCTGCAAGACCCTTTCGATACTTGTGATTTGTTAGGAAGCAGAAATCAGATAACCTAACTTGTTAGAATTCAATGTGAAGTAAGAATAAGTAGACTCTGGGTAGCTGCTGCCTCTACCATTAAAATTTTTTTAAAAAGAAGACTTTTCAATTGCCATTTAATTTGAACTTGACTTACCTAGACTACTATTAGTCGATATTAGTTTAACAGAGGGAAAATTGTTAATAAAGTAGATCTAATATGTAAACACATACATCATTCCCTTGTTCTGGATCTATCAATGATTTCATACTTTGACTATATCTAAATTATCTGCTTTTCCTGGCCTTCAAAGTGGTCTTTAATTCAGCCCTGCTTTCCATGGGTTGAATTTCCTACAATGCTGAGATGTTTATATTGGTTTCCTCCTGTCCTATGAACTTCGTACTGATTTCTGCCCCAATAAATTTGATTAGATGAAGAAAAAAGAGTTTTTTTTTTTAAGATAGAGTCTCACTCCTGTTGCCCAGGCTGGAGTGCAGTGGCACAATCTTGGCTCATTGCAACCTTGGCCTCCTCAACTCAAGAGATTCTTGTGCCTCAGCCTCCTGAGTAACTGGGACTATGGGTGCACCACTGGTGCCCGGTTAATTTTTGTATTTTTTTGTAGAGGTGAGATCTCACCATGTTGCCCAGGCTGGTATGGAACTCCTGAGATCAAGTACTCCACCCACCTCAGCCTCCCAAAGTGCTGAGATTACAGGTGTGTAGTCACTGCACCAAGCCAATGAGGCACTCACTTCTGAATAAAGTACAAGCATTAGTAACATCTCCCCTGGTCTCTCCAGATTGGTTATGCTGCCACAACTGAATTCTAAATGGGTTAAGTGCTATACAATTAGTTAAGTTTCTTTAGTAGGTATCAAATAAAACATCCACCTAAATTCTTAAGAACCTTGTTAAATAGTGGAATTTACAAATTCTTTATACAGATTCTGACAGCACATTTCTATTGGAAGACTATGGAATCACAATGAGGAAGGTAGTACTATATAGATCAGCAGCTAGCTTAATTGGCTTCCTGTAACTTATTAACAAATTAGGTTACAAAATACAAAGGCATCTTAATGAATCATCATATTTGGCATTGAACTCAAAGCTGAATTGTGTGAATTGTGAGGTGCTTTCCATAATTCAACTTGCTTAATTACCCATAAGAATGAATCATTCATACCTCAAGCCTACTAACACTTTTGGATACCTTATGTTTATGTAATGGTGGTGCTCATTTGCTGAGTAAGGCATGAGTAGTTTCCTAGGTAAGCAGAAGTAGCCCTCAAAACAATCATAATGTGAAACAATAACAACAGGGCTGTATTTTGAAGGCTCTAGAAACCCAAGACGTATTTCAAGAGCCAAGTTACTTTTTTTTTCGTTTACCACTTATCCTCAAGTTCTACGAGTTACTTATACTGTATCAATTCAAATACATTTGGTTATTAGATGTCTATTTTTTAAAGATGGACAAGATAAAATTGTGTAAATTTACAAGAAGTAATGGAAACTGCTAATAATGCTTATTTAAAAGAGTTATTAAAGCAAGAGCTTACTACCAACCCTAGGCTTCTGAAAAATTTGCACAGGTGGGAAAATATATGGGCATAGCTCTTAGCATATTTTAACAACTGAAAATGTGGCAGGGAAAAAGTCTTTATTCTGAGAGTATAACCATCTTACTTTTGGGGTATTAATATTACCTTTTATGAGATAATTCATTTTCAATGTTATTTGACAAAATTCAAAGTTGGTCATTCATTTTAGTCTCCTCATTTTTAGTAAATTTTCCTCCTGTAAAATCTAAGTTATGGGAACCACTAGAACATGTGTGAAAACAAGTTGCTGTGAGACGCAGTGACAGATTTTACAAAAAGAAAAGCATTTCATGACCACAGACCAGGATATCCAAAATTTTGGTGAGGTGGATTTTTTCCAAAGTCTGGTGACCAACTGTGGAAAAATAATTGGTTAATCTGACAGTGAGGCCCTTTAACAGTGTTGAAGAAAATGTATCCAAAAAAGTACAGAGAGTCAAAGAAGTGAGAGCAATGCTGTATTTATCCCCCACTGACATGTGAGGAAAGAAAAATAATTTTGGACATACACCTTGTAAAACTTCTCGAAAACCAGACTACATTTCTAACTCTAAAATACATGCTGCTGGTCATGAAGATGTTCTGATCATATAATTTAACCTACTGACATTACATGTAATAAATTAAAAACCCAAGTACCATGCTTAGTGTAGTGTCTGGTACATACAAGTTCTCAATGACAATTAGTTTTGTTTCTAGGATTACCTCTGTCCCTTGTACCTTCTTATAAAAAGAAAGCAAAGTGAACTGAATAAATTGTATCTTAAATAGACTAAAGAAAAGCTTTTGTATTTGTCTTTTCTCAACTAAGCAGTTTCCATAGTGCCTAGCAAGGTATCAGAAATGCACTCAATGAAGAGGGTTAAATGGTAACTCTTTCAGAACAGAAAGGATTCCCTAAAGAGCCCAGCAGAGGCAGAGCACTATTTTGCCCAGCCTGGCCTTGAACTCCTGGGCTCCAGCACTGCAGCCATCCTCCCACCTCAATCTTCCCAGCAGTTGGGACTACAGGCCTGTGCCATGGCACCTGGCTAAGGATAGCTATTATGAGAGTAGTAATGTAAGATGAAACTAAAAAGACTGATAATAGTAGGATTAAAAAGCACAAAAATTTTAAAGATTCTCCAGTACGTTTATTTCACAAACTTTTTTGTACAGTTGACCCTTACACATGGGTTTGAAATGGGTGGTTACACTTATGCGCATACTTTTTTCAATCAAATGCAGGTGAGGTCACACAGATCAGCATTTGTGCATGGGATGTGAAACTCATGTGTATGGAGGGTCAATTGGAGGGCCAACTTTTCTACATATGGGTTCTGCAAGACTTTCTGTGAGACTTGAGTATGGGCAGATTTTGGTATATGTGTGGCCCTGGAACTAGTCCCCAGTGTATACAAGGGATGACTGTATTTTAATGGTTTATAGTGTTAAAAAGAGAAAAATGTCCACGTAACCACAATTTTGAACACTGAACTATTTTAATATGAATTAATATGTCTTATATTTATTACCAACTGATCTTCAAATTGCAGCAGCCCATGAGTTTGGTTGTAAGTGTTCTTGCCATTCCACCCCAGCTGTCACTGAGTCAAACAGTTTAAAATATACACACACAAACAGACACAAGCCTTTTGTAAAGTAAACAAATCTTTTATACTGTAAATAACTGTTCCTCAATGGAACTTTTTGTATCCAGTTTACTTCTTTTCTAAAGATGGGATATTCATATTAAATACCCAACAATCTCTATAAAGCAACGAGTCTATCTCTGTGAAAACACAAGTAATTCTTGATGGCAATATTTTTCTTAATTCACCTAAACAAATGCAGTTTGGAAGGCCAAAAGGAGAAAAAAACACTTCAGATTATCAAAACGAAAAGAGATATGAAAAAATAACATATTTAACAATGTAGGCGGGAATTTTAAATACAAGATCCTGTTGAAAATATTGATATTCAAAGAAACAAATAGCTTTGGATCCATAACCACAATTTAGGTTTTCCTAGATTAAAATCAGAAGTGATTTTATTGTTGGAAGATACATTAATTCTTTGAAGTCAGAATAAGAGGCTTGACAATTTAATTTCTAATTAAGTGACTGAATAGACAAAGGATCAAATACAAACAGTAGTGCAGGAAGAAAATAAATTGGAAGAAATAATTGTTCAACCAGTAGTAATAATTAAGACCAACATTTTAAAATTTTCTATACACAAAGAATGAGAAAATATTGTTATAATATTATTATTATACTTCTTTCTTTTTTGGTATCAGTGGACCCACATTATCTCCTGTCAATTCATTGTGTTTATTATGTGAACCATCGCAGGCAGGAAACTAAAAAGAAAAAAGAATTACAAGTGTTATTTTTAAAATATGATTCATTAGGTAGAAACATTTGTGAAATGCTCTCCGAAAGAAAGAATATCGCTTGCTAAAAAAAATCAGATCGTTTTCCTGAGTAATAGTTACATTTTACATCCAACTGAACCATATTCAAAATCTAACAATTTAAACAGTTACTTCATTATTTGGTTTAGATTTTAAGTAAAAACCTATGAATGATTCCATATGAGTGATTAAAACAGACAACAGGTTTAAAAGGGAATCAAAGAAGTTCTTGGTCATTTGTGGAGCTTAAAATTCGAGCTCACCTATTGCTTAATTTTAAAACAATGGAATTTAATTCAAAATAAGTTCATAATTTTTTCTTGCTATAAAACTCATGCATACCACACAATTTTTGAAAACAAAAATATATTTTAAGCTGGGTGTGGTAGCTTACGCCTGTAATCCCAACACTTTCGGAGGCAGAGATGGACAAATCACTTGACATCGGGAGTTCAAGACTAGTCTGGCCAACGTGGCAAAACCCCATCTCTAACTAAAAATACAAAAGTTAGCTGGGCGTGGTGGCATACGCCTGTGTCTCGGGTACTTGGGAGGCTGAGGTGGGAGAATTCCTTGAACCCAGGAGGTGGAGGTTGCAGTAAGCTGAGATCATGCCATCGCACTCCAGCCTGAGTGACAGAGCAAGACTCTGTCCCCGCAAAAATAAATAAAGAATAAATAAAAATAAATTTAAAAAAATTCACTCATAACCCATCCAGATATAGGTAATAATAATTAACAGTTTGTTTATCAAACTCCTGCTTGGGGGAGTGGGAGTGGTCCAGCAGCCGGCGTGCCTTACTAGTGAAAAAGCTGGGGTTGAAGCTGCCACGGGGGGAGGTGTGGGGGCCTAGGGGGATCTGCTTGGACCTTCTGGGTGTCCTCCTGTAACCTCAGGTTCCTCACCTGTCTCAGAGGACGGCTGGGCTGCTATGGCAGGGTTGTTTGGAGGATTGAGACAGATAGTCCCAGTAAAGCCCCATTAGGCCCCCCCACCCCCCGCCTCCTGGATTTTTATTTATTATTATTTTTCTGGCTTTCTGAGGAAACTTTCCGGAATGTGTCCAGGTGTTGAAGCGGGAAGTCTGGACACCCTCCCTTGGCGTTGCGGTTCCTTCCAGACGCCCCCTCTTCTTAGGCTCTTTTCAAGCACACACCAGGCAACATGTGCTCTACCCAAGTGCACTTCACAGATCTTCCTGTGGGTCTAAAATCAGAAAGCTTTCTTCCCTGACCCCTGCCCTCATATCACCCGAACCCCAAGTCTTTTGGCAGAGCCGGCTACAGACTCGAGCGTCAGTTTAATGCTTGTTCCCTAAGGTCTCCCCAGGGCTCTTAGGAAGGCGTTAGGGTTAGGATTCAGGTTCGGGTGCGCTTCTCGGCGCCCTGCGCTGGCGCTGTGTGCCTTTGGGAGGGCGGAGCTGCATTCTCCTCAGCACAGGATGAGGTGTGTTCTGCTCAGCACAGACCCCGGGGGCCACCGCGAAGGCAGAGCAGCATACTCCTCAGCACAGACCTTGGGGGCACTGCCTCGCTTTGGGACAACTCGGGGCCGCATCGACGGTGAATAAAATCCTTCCTGTTTGCAGCCCTGAATAATCAGGGTCAGAGACCAGTTAAAAGGGTTCAGTGTGGAAAACGGGAAATCAAAAGCCCCTCTGAATCCTGCCCACTGAGGTTCTCCCCTGCGAAGGCGAGGTGGCCGCAGTGCGAGATCCACACCGCAGTCTCGGAAGATCTTTTGTCTGATTGCTCTGGCTAGGACTTCCAGTACTATGTTGAAGAGGAGTAGTGAGAGTAGGCTCCTCGTCTTGTTCCAGTTCTCAAATGGAATGCTTTCACCTTTTCCCCATTCAGTATTATGGTGACTGTGGGTTTGTCACAGATGGTTTTTATTACATTAAGGTATGTCCCTTGTATGCCTATTTTGCTGAGAGCTTTAATCATAAAGCAATGCTAGATTTTGTCGAATGCTTTTTCTGCATCTGTTGATATAATCATGTGAGTTTTTTTTTCTTAATTCTGTTTATTTGGTATATCACATTTATTGACTTGCATATGTTAAACCATTCCTGTATCACTGGTATGAAGCCCACTTGATCATGGTGGATTATCTTTTTGATATGTTGTTGGATTCAGTTAGATAGTATTTTGTTAAGGATTTTGACATCTGCGTTCATCAAGGATGTTGGTCTGTAGTTTTCTTTTTTGGTTATGTCCTTTCATGGTTTTGGTATTAGGGTGATGCTGGCTTCATAGAATGGATCAGGGAGGGTTTCTTTCTCTGTCTTGTGGAATAGTCTGAAAGGATTGGTATCATTTCTTCTTTGAATGAAAGAAAACATTCTTTGAATGTCTGGTAGAATTCTGCTGTGAATCTGGCTTTTTTGTTGGTAATTTTAATATTACAATTTCGATCTTGCTGCTTGCTTTATTGGTCTGCTTGGGGTATCTAATTCTTCCTGATTTAAGCTAGGAGGGTTGTATTTTTCCAGGAATTTGTCCAACTCTCCTAGGTTTTCTAGTTTATGTGCCAAAAGGTGTTCATAGTACCCTTGAATAATCTTTAATATTTCAGTGGTGTCAGCTGTAATATCCCCTGTTTCATTTCTTAGTGAGGTTATTTGGATTTTCTCTCTTCTTTTCTTGGTTAATCTTGCTAACGGTCTATCAATTTTATTTATCTTTTCAAATAACCAACTTTTTGTTTTATTTATGTTTTGTATTTTTTGTTGTTGTTATTGTTGTGTCAATTTCATTTAGTTCTGCTCTGATCTTGGTTATTTCCTTTGTTTGCTGGGATTGGGTTTGGCTTGTTCCTGCTTCTCTAGTTCCCTGAGATGTGAACTTAGATTGTCTGTTTGTGCTCTTTCAGACTTTTTGACATAGGTGTTTAGGGCTACAAACTTTCCTCTTAGCACTGCCTTTGCTGTATCCCAGAGGTCTTGATAGGTTGTGTCATCCAGTTCGAAGAAATTTTTTACATTTCCATCTTGGTTTCATTTTTCACCCAATGCCCATTCAGGAGCAGGTTATTTAATTTCCATGTATTTGCATGGTTTTGAAGATTCCTTTTGGAGTGGATTTTCACTTTTATTCCACTGTGATCTGAGAGAGTGTGTGATACAATTTCAATTTTCTTAAATTTATTGAGACTCTTTTTATGGCCTATCATATGGTCTATCTTGGAGAAAATTCTATGTGCTGTGGAATAGAATGTGTATTCTGTGGTTGTTGGATGAAATGTTCTGTATATATCTGTTAAGTCCATTTGTTCCAAAGTATAGTTTAAATCCAGTGTTTCTTTGTTGACTTTCTGTCTTGATGACCTGTCTAGTGCTGTCAGTGGAATATTGAAGGCCCCCACTATTATTGTGTTGCTGTCTATCTCATTTGTTATGTCTACTAGTAATTGTTTTATAAATTTGGGAGCTCCAGTATTAGGTTCATGTATGTTTAGGATTGTCATATTTTTCTGTTGGATGAGGCCTTTACCGTTATATACTGTCTGTCTTTGTCTCTTTTAGCTACTGTTGCTTTGAAGTTTGTTTTTCCTCATATGAGAATAGCTATCGCTGCTCGCTTTTGGTGTCCATTTGCATGAAATGCCTTTTTCTACCACTTTCCTTAAGTTTATGTAAGTTGTTATGTGTTAGGTGAGTCTCCTGAAGGCAGCAGATAGTTAGTTGGTGAGTTCTTATCCATTCTGTGGTTCTGTATCTTGTAAGTGGAGCATTTAAGCCATTTACAACCAACATTACTATCAAAAAGTGAGGTACCATTGTTTTCATCATGCTCTTTGTTGCCTCTGTACATTGTTTTTGTTTTCTGTTTTTGCTTTTTGACTTGTGTTTTTGTTTTATAGGTCTTGTGTGATTTATGCTTTAATGAAGTTCTGTTTTGATGTGTTTCCAGGATTTGTTTCATGATTTAGAGCTTTCAGCAGTTTTTACAGTGCTGGTTTGGTAATGGCAAATTCTGTCAGCATTTGTTTGTCTGAAAATGACTGTATCCTTCCTTCATATATGATGTTTAGTTTTGCTGGATACAAAATTCTTGGCTGATAATTGTTTTGTTCGAGGAGGCTGAAGAAAAGACCCCAATTCCATCTAGCTTGTAAGGTTTCTGCTGCAAAATCTGCTGTTAGTTTGATAGGTCTTCCTTTATAGGTTACCTAGTGCTTGTGTCTCACAGCTCTTAAGACTCTTTCCTTTGTCTTAACTTTGGATAACCTAATGACAATGTGCCTAGGCTAAGATCTTTTTGTGATGAATTTCCCAGGTGTTATTTGTGCTTCTTGTATTTGGATGTCTAGGTTTCTCACAAGGCCATGGAAATTTTCATTGATTATTCCCCCAAATATGTTTTCCCGGCTTTTAGAATTCACTTCTTCCTCAGGTACACCAATTAGTCTTAGGTTTCATCGTTTAACAGAATGCCAGACTCCTTGGAGGCTTTGCTCATATTTTCTTATTCTTTTTTCTTTGTCTTTATTGGATTGGGTTAAATCAAAGACCTTGTCTTCAAATTCTGAATTTCTTTCTTCTACTTGTTCAATTCTATTGCTGAGACTTTCCAGAGCATTTCACGTTTCTAAAAGTGCATCCAAAGTTTCCTGATTTTTTTTTTATTTAAGCTATCTATTTCCTTGAATGTTTCTCCCTTCACTTATTGTATCATTTTTTGGATTTTCTTGCATTGAGCTTCACCTATCTCTGGCCCCTCCCTGATTAGTTTAATAACTAACCTGAATTCTTTTTCAGATAAATCAGTGATTTCTTCTTTGTTTGGATCCATTGGTGATGAACTGGTGTGATTCTTTGGGGGGTGTTGAAGAGTCTTGTTTTGTCAGATTACCAGGGTTGGTTTTCTGGTTCCTTCTCATTTTGGTAGACTCTGTCAGAGGAAAGGTCTAGGGCTGAAGACTGTTGTTCAGACTCTTTTGTCACACGGAGTGTTCCCTTGACATAGTACTCTCCCCCTTTTCCTATGGGCATGGCTTCCTGTGAGCCGAAGTGCATTGATTGTTGTCTCTCTTCTGGGTCTAGCCACCCAGCAGGTCTACCTGGCTTTGGGCTGGTACTAGAGGTTGTCTGCATACAGCCCTGTGATGTGAACCATCTAGGGGTCTCTCAGCCATGGATACCAGCGCCTGTTCCAGTGGATGTGATGAAGGGTGCAGTAGACTCTGTGAGGGTCCTTAGCTTTAGTGGTTTAATGCTCTATATTTGTGCTGGTTGGCCTACTGCCAGGAGGTGGTGTTTTCCAGAAAGCATCAGCTGTAGTAGTGTGGAGGCACTGCCAGTGGGCAGGGCCCTAGGACTCCCAAGATTATATGTCCTTTGTCTTCCATTACCAACTTAAACATTTGTGACAATTTCAATGTCAGAAATTTATGTGTAATCGAATTTATTCTGGTAGCCTAAATTCTGGTAGCTTATTATATGCTTCAATCTTTATAATTTAATTCTCACATGAGGGAGATCTAATATTTGGAAATATTTTCAATCTGTATGTTTATGTATTTATTCTAGTTGTCCTGGCACAAGGTTTTCAATGTTGCTGTGTGACCAGCCATTGGCTTTTCACATTTACAACTCCTCTGAATTTTTTCTTGCCTCATTTCTGGTGCTGGGAAATTCTGATATTTTCTCCTCATCTCCATTGTACATTTTAGGGATTCTTGAAACTTTTGATGCACAAACATCCACACTTTCTGCATAAGTAAAATATTTTACTTAGATATTTTCTAGCAGACACTGAGTTCTCATGAGAAATCCTCAGTCTCTTTATTTGGAACACCCCCTCCCCAATATTCCATATGGAGTAGTTTTGTGTAGAATGTGATTACTTCATTAATATGTCAAAGTACGGATACATTTTGAACACATTTCTGATGTTGTAATACCTTTCTTGATGAATAGTACCTGCGCATGACCAGAATTGTATTTTTAGTAGATACCGGGTTTCACCCTGTTAGCCAGGATGGTCTCGATCTCCTCACCTCGTGATCCGCCTGCCTCGGCCTCCCAAAGTGCTGGGATTACAGGCATGAGCCACTGCGCCTGGCCAATCACATCATTCTTGTATTCACCTAGTGGTCGCTGTGTACCTCCCATGTCAGGCGCCGTACTACCAGACACTGAGGATCCGGTGGGGAGCGAGAGGGACTTTAAGGACTGAGTCAGTAGGACATGGACTGGTGGGATAGGGAAGGATGAGGCAGACAGAGGGTCAGATGATCCCCATGGTTCTGCCTGGGGCACCTGAAGGGAAGTCAGAAAGGAAGCCAGGTTGAAGAGGGATGGCAATGAGTTTTGTGTTTGGTCTGCAGGACAGAGATGCCGGGCTGCGGGGAGGACAGGTAGGAGGTGTGCATCACAGGTAAAGGCAATTGCTCTATGGGCCTGGGGTTTGATGGGAAGAGACGCTAAATCCTGGTTCATGATTCTTTCTCAAAATTGTATTGCAAAGATCCCTCATTGAATCTGCATTTTATAGCATGTACTGTGCAAGTTTCAGGGGTATCAGGAAGAAGAAACATGCTCCTTTGTCTCCTGAAGCTCACAGGCTAGTGGACATGGCAGACATGTAAGAGAAGGGACAAGAGGTCAGTGCACAGAGAACAGCTTTGGATTTACCTCTGATGCTGGCCCTGACCCAGATCAACCAAACCTAATGGAAACAGAGAGCTGAGAAAGCGGGAGAGTTGAGCTCACTGATGCTCGGATTTTACAGATGAATTTGGAGGCGGTTTCTCCCAGTGCTGACATCCAGGCACTGTGGGTGCCACAGAGAAACATGGAAGGGCCTTCTGGAGACCACCACACCCGGCATCCTTCCCCCTTTTAGAACTGGAGTGAGACAACCATGTGTGCTATCACTACTTCTTTCTTTACAGTGTCAGTCCAACACCGTAATGGTCTGACAGTCCTGCAGGCTGGAAGCCCAGGATCACGGTGCCAGCAGGGTTGGTTTCTTCCAAGTCCTATCTTCTGGGTGGTGGCCTCACGTGGCCTTTCCTCTGTGGGCCTGTGCCCTTGGTGCTTCCCACCACTTTTTTCCAAGTTCACGCTGATCCTTTGAATCAGTTATCACTCCCTAACTTGTTTTCCAGCTTCTGTGATGTTCCTGGCAGGCGCTCCTCTCACTCTCTGCTGTGAACTCTTCCCTTTTACATCTGCAATCCCTTTGCATTCCTTTTAGTGGTGTTTGGAGGAGAAGCAAGGGCTGAAGTTGTTCCCACTCATGTCTTTCACCCCCCAGGTGCCCCTGATGTTTCAGCTCCCAGTGGTGCCTGCAGGGAGATCCCTCTGTACTTCATAATATTATTTCTATTTTTTACAATTTTTTTTTTTGAGATGGAGTTTCACTCTTCTTGCCCAGGCTGGAGTGCAGCAGTACGATCTCAGCTCAATGCGACCTCCACCTTCCAGTTTCAAGCAATTCTCCTGCCTCAGCCTCCCAGGTAGCTGGGATTACAGGTGCTCACCACCACGCCCAGCTAATTTTTGTATTTTTAGTAAAGATGGGGTTTCGTCACGTTGGCCAGGATGGTCTCTAACTCCTGACCTCAGGTGATCTGCTCGCCTTGGCCTCCCGAGGTGCTGGGATTACAGGCATGAGCCACCGCGCCTGGCCACACTTTTTTTTTTCAAATTTCCTTGTAGTACTGCTTGGGCTACATGGCTTAAGCTTTTGTACATAGTTTTCATTGTTCGGTTCTAAATGCTTTTAGATTTTCATTCTAATTCTTCTCGGACCAGTGCATTATTTTTTATTTTTTTAATTTAAAAAATAATTTAATTTAGTTTTATAGAGATGGGGGGTCTCACTATGTTGCCCAGGCTGGTCTTGAACTCCTGGGCTCAAGGGATCCTCCTGCCTTGGCCTCCCGAAGCTCTGGGATTATAGGTGTGAGCCACCGTGCCTGGCCAGTAGTGTATCTTTAAATTTCCAAACATAGGGGAACCCTTAATTTTAGTTTGGTTGCCAATTTATGCCTTTATTCTGTTACATCAAGAACATGGCTGGTGTGATGCAAGTTCTTTTGCTATTTGTTGAGTCTTGTTTTGCAGCCTAGGACATGGTGAGTGTTGGTAAATGTCCAAGGTGAACTTGAAAACAATGTGTGGTCTGTAGTTTTTGGGTGTCCACTAAATCAAGTTTGTTCAACTTTTCCATATTCTTTTTATTTTTATTTTTTGACAGAGTCTCACTCTGTTGCCCAGGCTGGAGTGCAGGGGCATGATCTCAGCTCACTGAAACCTCAAGTTCAAGTGAATCTCCTGCCTTAGCCACCCGAGTAGCTGGGATTACAGGCATGAGCCACCACATCTGGCTCATTTTTGTATTTTTTATTTTAGTTTCATCATGTTGGCCAAGCTGGTCTCAAACTCCAGACCTCAAGTAATCTGCCTGCCTTCGCCTCCCAAAGTGTTGGGATTACAAGCATGAAACACTATGCCTGGCCCAATTTTTCTATATTCTTCCTAATTGAGTTTGCTTAAACCAGCAGTTCCAGTGAGAAGTGGTATAATTTCCTGTGTGGAGAAGGTGCTCATTTATTAATTTTTCCTTTTCTTGTCACTTTTTTGTTTTGTAGTCATCTGAGGCTCTATCATTATGCAGGTGCACACAAGATCAGAATGGCTAATGCTTCTTCTTTTTTTTTTTTTTTTTTTCCTGTCAACCAGGCTGGAGTGCAATGGCTTGATCTTGGCTCACTGCAACCTTCGCCTCCCAGGTTCAAGCAGTTCTGCCTCAGCCTCTCTAGTAGCTGGGACTACAGGCATGAGCCACCACGCCTGGCTAATTTTGTACTGCAGTAGGGACAGGGTTTCACCATGTTGTTTAGGCTGGTCTCGAACTCCTGAACTCAGGTGATCTGCCTACCTTGGCCTCCCAAAATGCTGGGATTACAGGCGTGAGCCACCATGCCTGGCCACTAATACTTCTTTTAAAATAATTAAATTATTTATGTATTTATTCTTTTTCCCCCACCCCTCCCCCACCAGTGAATGCTTTGGAATGAATACATCCGTATGCTGCAATCACTTTTAATCCTAATAATGATTTTGCCCTGGAGCCTACTTTGTGAGATATGAGCTTCTCTCCACTAGCTTCCTTTTGGATGGTCTTTGCCAGATGTGTCTCCTTCTGTCTCTAGTAATTAGAGCTATTCCAGCTATGTGTCAAAAATAAACAAAAAGGGTTTATGATCAAGCATGGGCGACTTACACAATCATCAAAAGAAATGGAGGAACAACTCCCAGCCCTCCGAATAGGCCACCTCCTGGGATCAGGAATAAATCCTAATCTCAAAATACAGGTAAACAGTCTACCTCCTGTCCCCTAAATGAGATGCCAAGCATGCCCCTCCCCTCAGCCATGCTGTCTCCATCCAAACTTTAATGACCACTGGCCTCCCTGCTGACCCATGTCCCACTGAGGAGCCCCAGGCTCTGAACCAACTGCCTACGCACCATCCCCTCGGGCTGCACCTGCTCCCCAGGCCTTCCCCTCCTTTGGAGCTGCCTCTGTCCACCAAGGGTGCTGTCGCTCACCTAACCTTCCAACCAGAACCCAGTGGTATCTTGCTGCCCCCTCTACTCCCTGAAGAAGCTGCCCCCATGCCTGTCAAGTTCTTCCAACTGCTCGAAACTTCTGGAACTCCAGTCCTCAGCAAGTCTTGTCTGGGTGGCTGCAATGGCTATGCTTGCTTCTCTGTCTCTCTCCATCAGTCAACCAAACAATCGATCAATCATCTATCAATCAGGTATCCACCTATTAATCTATAATCAATAATCTATTAATCTATATCATTTACTTCTATAATCAATCATTGATCTATCCCATGTATCTTCCTATCCACCCTTTATCATGTCTATCCATCTATCTATCATTTATGCCTCTATCATGTCTATCTTTCAATAATTTATCTATCACCAGGCACAGTAGCATGTGTCTGTAGTCCCAGTAACTCAGGAGGCTGAAGCAGGAGGACTGCTTGATGCTAGCAGATCAAGTCCAGACTGGGCAAGATAGCGAGATCTCATCTCTAAAAAATTTTTTTAAATCATCTATCATCTCTCTCTATTCATCTATCCATGTATCTATCGTGTATTTTATCTATCAGTTAGCACCTATGAATCACCCATCATCTATTGATCAATTGTCTATATCATGTCTGTATATCTATATATCTATGTATCTATTTATCCATCAGTCATCTATCTGTCTGTTTTTGAGGCGATATTTACAAAATATACAATCAATCCCTTTAAAGTGCACAATTCAGTGGCATTTAGTATGCTCTATAGTTCCAGAACATTTTCTTCAAAATAAAAAGAAACCTGAGGCTGGGTGTGGTGGCTCATACCTATAATCCAGCACTGTGGGAGGTTGAGGCAGGGCGATCGCTTGAGCTCAGCAGTTTGAGACCAGCCTGGGCAACATAGTGAGATCCTGTCTACAAAAAAAAAAAAATCACAAAATTAGCAGGGTATGGTGGCACACGCCTGTGGTTCCAGCTACTCAGGAGGCTGGGGCAGGATTGCTTGAGCCCGGGAGATCAAGGCTGCCGTGAGTTATGACTGCGCCACTGCACTCCAGCCTGGGTGACAGGGTGAGACCCTGTCTGTCTCATTAAAAAATAAAATATAAATACAAAATTTCTTAAAAAGGACTGCCCCTGCCCCATTTTCCTTCCCCTGCCCCAGCCCCTGAAACCCACTCATCTGCTTTCTGTCCCGATGAGCCTATTCTGGACATTTGTGTCTGGCTTCTTTCACCCAGCATGAACTCTTTGAGGTCTATCCGTCGTGTTATGGTGGAATGGCACCGCGCCTTATGGACAGGCTGTTTCTCCATTTGTCTGTTGATGAACACTCAG
Organism: Homo sapiens; assembly: GCF_000001405.40. Classification (NCBI taxonomy): domain Eukaryota; kingdom Metazoa; phylum Chordata; class Mammalia; order Primates; family Hominidae; genus Homo; species Homo sapiens. The sequence goes on along the minus strand of NW_021160000.1, from coordinate 279,373 downwards.
GCTGTCCCACCTTTGGGAGGCTATGGCCATCCATGCATAAAGGTATGGCCGTACAGCTGTTCTCAGTTCTCATGCCTCCGAGGCCAGATGGGCTGCCGCACCCTATTCCCACCAGCCACCCTCAAATGCAGCCACGTGGCCTGCAGTACTCGACACTGCTTCCCTGTTACTGAAAGCTCCTCAGTGGCCTCTGGGCTAAGTCCTGTCTCTGTAGTGTGGCCTCCAAGGCCCGCCGGCCACAGCCCTCCATTCCCTTGCCCTCCCTTCCCCTGCATGCAGCAGGAACACCCTGCACTGTGCTCCCAGTTCCCCCAAGGCCCCTGCACAAGTGGCCTCCTCTCCCTAGAAGGGCCAGCAGCACCCTGTGTGGCAGCTTAGACATCCCTTCTCTTGCCTTCGTGCTCTTCCCACAGGGACCAGCATGATCCCCTCCCCTAGTCCTATTTGGGCTCAGCCAGTATTTCTGTGCAATGTTGTTGCAGGTTCTGCCCTGCCACCGTCACAGGAATCCTAAGAGCATTGGCGTGAGGCTCGATGGAGGGCACGTTGGACCATGTCTTCTGGTGACTTTCCCCCACGGAGGGGCTTGGGGGTCAGGCCCACTCCTTTCCCAAACTCACTCTTTCCCCCACAGGCAACCCACTCTCTCTCCTCCATCTCTCCCCAAGACCCGCAGCAGACACCACCAGACTCTGAGGCAGGGGGGAAGGACTGCATTTGCCAATGGAGGCTTTTACGGGGGGGGGACTCGGGATGGCGCCCAGCCTGAAGGCTGAGGGCCCGGGAAAGGCACAAGGTGGCGGTGGGGTCTCTCTCGGGCAGGTGCTGGCTCTGCAGACAGCTCCCCCTGGTGACCCCTCTTTGGTACTGAGCTGGGAACATGGTGTCCGCACTCTCCGCTAGCAAGCAAAGGTCCGTGTGGCCAGGTGGTGGCTGGCAGTGTAGGCTGGCGGGGTGACGGCCACAGGGGCTGGGTTTGGCACCAGTGGGAGCCGGGGCCCCAGGGTACTCAGAGGCTGGGCCGTCCCCGCTGCTGGCAGGGTAGTCACATTGGCCACAGAGATGGCTATGAATAGGTAATCCAATAAATTAGACTGTAGAAAGAGGAGGTGAGGGGCCGAGGGGGCGGGGCCTACATTCTCTCTTGGCAGGCAGTGCTGTGTGTCCCTCTCCCATGGGATCTTCGGGGCTCTTGTGGGGGAGAGGATGCAGGTGAGGCGCTCCGTGTGACCGTGGGTACCACTGGGCGGCTTTTATGGCATCGCACGGGATGGGAGCCTTGGCTGGCCACCCTCAGGGGATGGACCATGGGGTCTTTGAGAGACTGACGAGGAGGGAGGCCACCTGCAGCACCAGGGGCTGTGGCCTGAGGGGCTCCTGGGACTCGGCTGCGCTGCTGTGTGGCCAGCACTGGGCCCCTTGTACCCCAGCTTCCTCTACGGAGCAAAGTAGAGGACTCACTGCCTTGGACAGGGCCCAGCCACTGTGGAATAGCCCCCCCAGGGAGTGGGAGGGACAGGGCTAGGGTTACGCAGGGTGCCACCCTCCACATCTACTTTCCCGAGGTCGGGAAGGGTCTTCTAAGAGGAGGGGCCAGGCATGCAGGGGCGGGGTGCGTGCGCAGGTGGGTGCTGCTGTCTCCTTCATGTGATTCGAGCTTGGGGGCGGGGAAGGGGCTGGAGAGGGTGGGGTCAGGTGGAGGCACCCTGGAGTCCACCAGGGCCTTGCAGGCTAGGTGCCGGCACGTGCGCTGGGGCCACGGCCTCGCCCAGGATTTGGCAGAGCTCCTGGAGGTGCCGCTGCATCTTGGGAATGCCCGCCAGCTGCTGCTCCAGCCGCTGCTTCTCCTCTGTCAGGCTCAGGTGGGCAGCTGAGTCCAGCTTCTCGAACTTCCAGCCACCCTCCCCATCGAACTGTAGCAAGTGTGTGTGGTACTCCCTGGCCAGGAGAGGGACAGGGTCAGGGGCACGGCACGAGGGCTGATGATGACAGCCGCCTGCTGCTGCCGCCTGGCCCAACAGGCCACCTCCTCCCCTCAGGCAGCCACTCCCACTGACCCCAGGCAGGGAGACAGGGCACCTACCACAGGGAGGGCTGGAGGGTGATGGAGAGCAGGGCAATGCCTGCGTCCTTGGCCACCTGGAAGATCTTGCCTTCCACGTCGATGCTCACGGCACTGGTGCCTTCATCCAGGAGGGCGTACTTGGGCCTGTGGGTCCGGTCCGAGAGAAGAGTCTGTGCACCCTCCAGGGCCCAACACCCCAGCCCGGCTCAGGCTCCACTGAGCCCAGGCCTCCCCACAGCTGCTACTTCTCCTTCCAGGGGACCCCAGGGAGGCTGCCAGCCTGGAGTGCTCACCTGTGGTAGAACATGCGGGCCATGCCGATTCTCTGCTTCTCACCACCTGGCAGGATGTCCTTCCAGTCACACATAGCCTCCCAACCTAGGAAGGGGCAATGGTCTTGGCTCAGTTCCACCAGTACCCAGACCTGGGGGCCAGCCGGGGAGCTGGGGAGCTGCGGGAATGGGCTAGCTGTGACGACAGGGCCCCTGTGCCTCTGCGTCCTTATCTGTCTGACAGGCATTAATCATGGAGGAGTGGGGACTGGAATCATGCCTTCCCCCAGAAGAGATATGGTGGAGTCCAAGCCCCAACACTTTAGTGTGACCTTATTTGGAGATAGGTCCTTTGCAGAGGTGATCACACTAAGATGAGGTCATCAGAGTGGACCCTAATTCAATATGACTGTGTCCTCATAAAAAGGGGGTGTGCGAGCAGAGGACGTGCACAGGGGAACACGAGGTGAAGATATACAGGGAGAAGTGGACCATCTGCGAGCCGAGGACAGAGGCCTGGAACACATCCTTCTGTCATGGCACCCGGAAGGAACCCACCCTGCTGGTACCAGGATCTCGGACTGCTGGAGCTAGGAGATGATCCACCCCTGTGGTTTATGGCAGCCCCAGGACAACCATACAGTTCCTTGGCACAGAGCTCCAGAGCGGCCTGAGTGCTCTCCCCAGACCGGGGGCTTGTCACCCACAGGGGTTGGGCCTCCTGTCACTGCCCCGTGCCAGCACTTTGGCAAGGCTCGAGTGGGCTGCTTGAACAAGCAGGTGAGCCGGCTGCTCCATTAGCCGGGGGACTGTGGCAGAAGTGGCCCCTCCTGTCTTCTCGCCCATGCTGCCTTCCCCAGCGGCCCAGGGCTAGAAGTGGCGACATGGTATATGGCCACCCAGAGTAGAGATTACGCTTCCCAGGTGGCCTTGTGGTGAGGTGTGAGCATGAGACTAAGTTGTGGTCAATAAGATATAACTGTAAGTATTCAATATGGCGGTTTCTGGAACCTTCCTTAAAAGACAGAAGGCACATACCTTTTGCCCCTTCCCTTCTACTTCCTCCATCCTACAGCCTGGGACATGATGTGAGGGCTGCAGCAGCCCTCCTGGATCATGAGGTGACTTTGGGAATGGAGGCCACACACAGCAGAGCGACATGGTCGAAAATCCTAGAGCCTTGGGGTCTTCACAGAGCAGGGCCTGCCCTGGCAACCGTGGCCTGGCTCTCTTGGGACCTAACAGCTCAGTAGGATAAACTCACAGATGATCTTAGCCACTACTGTGGGGAGGCTGGTTCTGTTCCTTGCAGCTCAACTCCATCCTAACGGCTCATGCTGGCCGGCCACAGGCCCTGGGCATTCAGGCTGCCACAGAGGTGGGAGAGGCCATATGCTCCCAGGCCAAGGGCAGCAGGAGCAAGAGGCAGGGCCTGGCCAGGGGCTGCTCCACCACCATCGCCACCTGTGTTCCCGCTTCCTCCACAGGCAGGTGACAACACCCTGGTCATTTCCTGCAGGAGCCACTTTTTCTCATGTTGCCACCGAGGGAGGGCTTGGTGCCTGTGCCCTTGAACCATGAAGGGGAGCTCCAGCAAGGCGAGGTCCTTGCCCAGGGCCATCTCGCACCCAGCAGTGGGGGCTGGAAGCAGAACCCAGAGGCTCAGAATTCAAAGACAGAACTGAACTTTCCATCTACTGTGTCCCTGTAGCTGCACCCCCCTCTCCTCCTCCGCTCTCCCGGCCCGACAGACACTGTGGACAAGCAGTATTCCTTGATAAGCCCAGGACAAGAAAACAGCTCAGTCTGGCCTCCTTTTCAGTGAACTCATCTCTGAATCCACCCGACTCTGCTGACCCCAGCCCCCTCCAAGCATCTGCACAGACCTCCTGACAGTAGCTATCACTGCACACATGTGCCTGCCCCTCCCAGGCTGCCCCTGCCCACCGCCCCATGGTCCTTCGAAGAGCGTCTGATCCTGCTCAGGGAATGCCTAGGCTCCCGCCTGGTCCGGAGGGCCCTCTGTGAGCCAGCCTCTCACACCACCAAGCCTTCGGGCCACACTCTGCCCTGCTGCCCCTGGCTCCTGGATGGGGTAACCACTTAGCATTCTGCAGGGCTCAGCTCAGACCCCTTTTTTCTGGGAGAGGGTATCCTGGGTCCCCCAATGAGGTGCGCATCCCTGCTAGGTGCCCCCTTCCCTAGAGCACCCATGCCACCTGGGACCATCTGTGTGGTGTTGGTCCTCCCTGGTAGGCGGGCCTCAGAGGTAGCACCCTCTGCCCTGCCCCTGTGGCACCTGGCACTTTAGACTCCTGGATGTTGAGATAATCTTCCCTCCCTGGAGGCCAAGGGAGAGGCCAGGGTGGGACAAAGGGCGGCTGCCAGCCCCAGGCCTCCTACCTCCCTCCCACTGCAGGATGTGGTGTGGGTGCACGATATCCAGGATGGCTTCCAGGTCCTGCTCCGAGTAGCCCTTCCTTCGCATGTCCTCCACTGAGTCCGGGTAGATCACCTGGTCACGCAGGGATCCCACAGACATGTAGGGCCTGTGGGAAACCTGGGTGTCCACGGAGGGAAGGGCCGGCCCTGCCTCCCCCAAGATACTCTGCGCCTCCCAGGCAGTGTAGATTCTGTCTGCTGTAGACAAAATAATGGCCCCCCAAAAACGTTCATGTCCTAATTCCCAGAGTCTAACATATAAATATGTTAGGTGGCTTGGCAGTGGGAAATTAGATTTCAAGTGAAATTAAGGTTGCAAAGGTGGCGGGGGCAAAAAGCCACGGCGGGCAAAAAGCCACGGCAGCAAAAAGCCGCGTAGGCGGGGGGGCAAAAAGCCGAGGCGGGGTGGGGGCAAAAAGCCACGGAGAGTAAAAAGCCGCGGGGGCAGGGGGTAAAAAGCCACGGCAGGGAAAAAGCCACGGCGGCGGGGGGGCAAAAACCCGGGTCGGCCAAAAAGCCACGGCGGCGGTTGTGCAAAAAGCTGGAGCGGGCAAAAAGCAGCGGCGACAAAAAGCCACGGCGGCGGAGGGGCAAAAAGCCGCGGCGGACAAAAAGCCATGGCAGCACCGGGGGGCTGCAAAAAGCCGCGGCGGCGGGGGGCAAAAAGCTGCGGGGGCGGGGGACAAAATGCCGCAGCAGGCAGGGGCAAAAGCCGCGACGGGTAAAAAGTCGCGGCGGCAGGGGGCAAAAAGCCGCGGCGGGGGGCAAAAAGCCGCGTCAACGGAGGACAAAAAGCCGCGTCGGCGGGGGGCAAAAAGCCACGGCGGGCAAAAAGCCGCGGCCGGGAGGGGGGCACAAAGCCGAGGCGGGGTGGGGGCAAAAAGACACCGTGGCGGGGGCTAAAAAGCCGGGTGAGGAAAAAGCCGCGGCGACGGGGAGCAAAAAGCCGTGGCGGACAAAAAGCCAAGGCAGGGTGGGGGCAAAAAGCCGCAGCGGGTAAAAAGCCACGGAGGCAGGGGGGAAAAAGCCACGGCGGGGAAAATGCCGCGGCGGCTGTGGGGCAAAAAGCTGCGGCGGCAGGGGGGCAAAAACCCAGGGCGGGCAAAAAGCCGAGGCGGGGTGGGGGGAAAAAGCCACGGCGGCGGGGGGGGCAAAAACCTGCGGCGGCAGGGGCAAAATGCCGCGGCGGCGGGGGGCGAAAAGCCGCGGCAGGTAAAAAGCCGCGGCGGCGAGGGGGCAAAAAGCCGGGGCAGGCAAAAAGCTGCGGCGGCGGAGGACAAAATAGTGGAGATGGGGTAGAAGGCTGGCACAGCTTGGCATTGCTGGAGTGTGATGTGATAGGAAATGTGCAGCCAAACACAAAAAAAGATGTAAGTAGGCTTGACTCATTGCAGCTAAGAACCCAGATGTTATCTTGAGGGTATTAACTAATAAGCAGTTTAAATCAGAATGGCACATTCTGATTTGTTTTTTGTGTGTTCACATTTGGCAGGCATAGATACTGTTTGAAGAGAGAAAAGTCAGTAGATAGCGGTAACAAACTTAAATATGTGCCAAGTCTAGAAACAAGAGACCAGGGGGATAAGGACCTTTCAAAATAAAATGCAAGATTTGAAAACTGATTGGCTGGAGGATGAGGAAAAGGCAGGTCTTTAAGGTCAATCCCTATTTTGCTTTAAGTTGTTAGGGGGTGGTTTTATCACATATTGTAGAATATGTCATTTCAGTTTTGAACATCTTGAGTTAAATTGTCCTAACATATCTTATGAATTTGATTTTCTTCCCTGGGAAGCTAATATTTCAAAAACTTAAAGAGTATAGATTTCTAACTTGTATCAAATTTATAAAACTATCTCTAGGCTGCTGATTTCAGGAGGAGGCTCATGAATATTCTCTTTGCAGAGAATATATCAGGAGTTAACAACAGCTTTAATATTTGTGGACGACCAGTTAACTAAGCCACCTCTTAGTGTATTTAGATGGGAAATCTTAGCTGAAGATATTCAATAATGAACCAACAGTGACTAAAAAATTCAATATTTAAGTATATTTCATTGTAATTAATCTGAATTGAAGTAGCCATATACAGCTAGTATTTACTATATTGAACAATGCAAATAAGAGGAAAAAAATTAATAACCATCTCTAATACCACATGCCAAAATCCTCGTCAATTTATTCTAGCTAAAGGAGTTTATCAGAAGCAGCAGTTGAAAGCACCAACTAAACCAGCTGGGGTTAGTTCACTGTCATTCTCTCAGAACCATCTCTTCTCTGAACAAAACAAGTACAAGAGTTCATTGTGAATCTGCATTCTCCTTGACTATTTTAAGGTTTTGATGTTGACACTAATTTGTGAAATCCCTCCTGTGGTGTGATATTTTGTTTTCCTTGCTTTCTGATAGGACAAGAATGCTTCAGCTCTTAATTTAAAATTATGTTTCTCCCTCCTACATTGAGTGAACTTAGAATGCATTCTCTGACATCCAAGTTTTTGTTAATATGAATTTGGGGAAAAAAGCATACTTAATTAGCTAAGACTTCTTATTCTAGGCTTGACCCTGTGTTCGACATCTTTTGAATTTCTAGTTGCATGGGCTGCTCTCTGACACTGGTTAGTGACCTGGAAGCTATATTAACGTTAGGGGAGGTGGTGTATGAGCATTAGAGGTATCCTTGCAAGGAAAGACTTGTCTTTTTTTTGCACACAAGAAAGTCAGTGTTTGAGTCCTCTAAAATCTTCCTATTTCCAAGTTGCAGAGTACCATTGATTCCTAAACAAAGACCTAATTTTTGACTTAGAGACGTGGCAAGGTAGTGACTCACCATTATAATTTAACAATCTTCAAGATAAAATTATCTCTGATATTTAAATTTTGCCCAATTATGAAGATATTTGGGTGTTTTGTTAAGAATGGAAGACTCTAGTCTCTTGAGCAGAGACTATAAAGGCCTCAGATGATCATTTTTAATTTTATGCTCTTTTCTTTAACACCTTCAACACAGTTGGAAGCAGCCAATATTCCCCAGAGTTGTGTTTTTTAAAGCAAATGCATAGTTCAGTGGTAGAAAACTGGGCTGATCCAAGCTGTTTTCAGTAAACATTTCAGGTGACCTATTACATATTAAATAATCTCTGGATCCTGTCTTCGAAACTAACTAGATCAGATAACCTGCCCTGGATTTTCTCCTTTTAGGGTCTGTGAGCTGCAGTCAGTTTTGTGAAAATGATTGCAATGACAAGATAGAGTTGTAGATGGGGAAAATGTTTTGACTAATTTAAGCATAGTGGTATTTCATATGAGAATTTAAGTTACACACATTTGAAAATTATAATGGATTCTCTTGGCTGAGCTTTAAAAAAAATAGCGTTTAGACTAAAAAGGGAACTGCTACCTCTCCTAAAATCAGAAAGATGTTACAGTAATTCTCCATTCTCTAGAACTATCAGAAAGCACCTTTGTGATGATTTACTTTTGCTCTTAGGAGTGTGAGCCCGTGTAGTCGTGGAACCATCAATTAGAATGGTGGCTTTCTGATCCCAAAGTCATTCGTTCTGAAATTCTTTTGAGCAAAAACAAAAACAAAAATATGACTATTAGTCACAAATTCAGTACAGTGAAAAAAAAGTTGAAGAGATATCTTGGAAGTAAACCATGTTGTGGAAGAGCATGTAGGGTTTTGATAATCATGGGATTATTCTGAATTAATTTTAAATGCGATAGGAATATATGAGATAATTTCACCAGAGAATAACATGATTGTGTTTGCATTTCAAAGGGGTGTATCTGGTGCACTGTGTAGAATAAATAGGTTATGTGAGCAAATAAATTGGGAGGCTACTGTAATCCAGAGAAAAAAGGTAGTGACTTAGGTGAGAATGCTGTCAGTATGAGTGGTAGTAGTGGTGAGAAGTCGTTAGGTCATGGATGTATTTCATAGGACTGGCCAAGAGAACTGCAGCTAAATTGGAGTGTAGGGAGTGAAATGGAGAACTCAAAGATGACTCTCAGCACTGGAAGATGACAGCTGTCACTGAAGCATGCTGATGCCTCTCATTAAGAGGGTTACTTGGGAATGACAAGCTTAAAACTTCTCACTTTCAAATTTATGAAAAATATTCTTTCACAAATATCAGTTTAATAATTTTATATTAAACTCCCTATATACTTACAATATGAATTAGATAATTCAGTATAAACATTCCAGTGGAAAAAACTAAACAATTTGTTATAAAACATCCTTAAAAGCATCAGAAAGTTAATACAGCAATGAAGAATTACAGGACCAAATTAAGAATGGTATGGAAGCCTGTTTGTGAGGCTTATGTTTGGGTTATCTCTTTACTTAGAGTGACTATAAATCTCAAAAGAGAACTAAAGGGAGAAATAACCATATCAACTCACATGGCAAGGGTATTTAAACATCTCTTAGTAATTGAGATAATTGAAAGAAAAGAAAAAAGAGAAAGGGAGAAAGAGAAAAAGAGTGAAAGGGATAATGAAGGAGAGACAGAAGAAGAGAAAGGAAGAGGAAGAAAAGTAAAAAGGAGGAGGAAAGGGAGGGAGGAAGAAAGAAAGGTGAAAAGAAGGAATGCTAAAGTTTTCAACAACATAATTTATCCTTCTAGAATATGAATGTTGGTCTATTTGATGATGTCCCACAGATTCCTTAGTCTCTGCTCATTTTTTATCTGTTTCTGAGTCAATGTTTTCCATTTTCTTATCTTCAAGCTCATGACTTCTTCTGTGTGTGCAAATATACTCTTAAATCCCTCTGGTGATTTTTAAATTTTTATCGTTGTAGTTTTCCACTCCAGAATTTCTGCTATCTCTGTTGATATTCCTACTTTTTAATATTTGTTCTGATTCCTTGATTTCTTTGTTTATGTTTTCCTTTTGACATTTGAGTATAATGAAGAGAGTTGTTTTAAAGTCTTTGTCTAGTAAGTTTGATGTCTGGATTCCCTTAGAGATATTCTCTGTCAATTTGTTTTGTTCCTTTCAATGAGCCATACTTTCCCATTCTTTGTATGCCTTGTAACTTTTTTTGAAAACTGTACATTATAATAATTATAATTACTATGTGGTTACTCTGTAAATCAGGCCCCCCCTACAAACACAGTAATGTTTTGTGGTTTTAAATTTTCTTTACTTATTATATTGTTAAGGATTTTTTTTTAGTGAAATTTTCCAAAGTGATTTACAAAACTGTTTGCTTTATAAGGTGTGGTCACCAAAGTCTTTTTGTTTCCATAACAAATGTTAAGCTAATGTTTTGACAGTGATTTTCTTGTATGTCAGGAACCAATCAAACAGGCAAATACAAGATAAACAAAAAGAAAAACAAGGAATCGTTGTCCAGCAAAATATGTCTCTAGGCCATGCAGACTGGCTTTGTGCTGGGTTCTTTAAAGCTGCACAAAGTGTGTGTTCACTCTTTCACTGAGTAAAGTTCAAGTTCACTTATGCACAGAGCTTGCACGGAGGGGAGGGATTGGCCAAGGTAAAAGTGTAGGGTCTGTTTATGACATTTGTCAGCATGTGGCTTAACCTATGAATACAAGTGACTTTCTAGACTCTCCCATGTATGTGAATGATTTTGTATGTCTTAGTTTTTGAAATACTCTTCTCCAACTTTTCTTGCTGTGCTGAAGGTGATCTACTATATGTGTAAACTCTAATTTTTGCCCTAAGCATCTGTGGTTTGTTAGGTCTCCTTGCATTTTCTTACAAATGTCCATTCCTTATCTGTTCTGTATTCTAGCAACACAGAAAAAAAGCCTTTCATGAGTCCTTTAGATATCCCCAGACCTATCAGAACAGACACTCGAGTCCATTCAATGATTCCACTCAATTCCATTAGATGATGATTCCATTTGAGTCCATTCGATGATTCCATTCGATTCCATTTGATGATGATTCCATTCGAGTCCATTCGATGATTCTATTCGATTCCATTCAATGATTTTCCTTTTCGTTTCCATTCGATGATGATTCAATTCGATTCCATTCAATGATGATTCCATTAGATTCCATTTGATGATGATTCCATTTGATTCCTTTCAATGATGATTCCATTTGATTACATTTGGTGATTATTCCTTTCGAGTCCATTTGATGATGATTCCATTCCAGTACATTCGATGATATTTCCATTCTATTCCATTCAATGATGATTCCATTCGTGTCCATTCGATGATGATTCTATTCCATTCCATTCGATGATGATTCCATTAGATTCCATTCAATGATTCCATTCGATTCCATTCGATGATGATTCCATTCGATTCCATTCTATGATGATTCCCTTAGAGCCCATTCGATGTTTCCACTCGATTCCATTCGATTATGTTTCCATTTGATTCCATTCGATGATTCCATTTGATTCAATGCGATGATGATTCCATTCGGTTCCATTTGATTTATTCCACTCAATTCCATTCGATGTTTTGTTTTGATACCATTCGATGATGATTCCATTAGATTCCATGTGATGATGATTCCATTCGATTCCATAAGAAGATGATTCCATTTGATACCATTTCATGATTGCATTCGATTCCATTCGATGATGATTCCATTGGATTCCATCGGATGACTCCTTTTGATTCCATTTGATGACTCCATTCGATTCCATTAGATGATTCCATTCGATTCCATTTGATGATTCCATTCGATTCCATTCGATGATGATTCCAGTCTATTCCATTCAATTATGATTCCATTTGATTCCATTTTATGATTCCATTCGATTCCATTTGATTCCATTTGATTCCATTCCATGATTCCATTCGATTCCATTCGATGATGATTCCATTCAATTCCATTCAGTGATTCCACTCGATTCCATTCGATGATTCCATTTGATTCCATTCGATGATTCCATTTGATTCCATGCAATTATGATGCCATTCAATTCCATTCCATGATTCCTTTCGATTCCTTTCTATGATGATTCCATTCGATTCCCTTTGATGATTCCATTCGATTCCATTCTAGGATTTCATTCGATTCCATTCGATGATTACTCCAATCGATTCCTTTCAATGATTCCGTTCAATTCCATTCGATGATGATTCCATTCGATTCCATTCGATTATGATTGCATTTGATTCCATTCGATGTTTCTTTTCGATTTCATTCGATGATGATTCCATTCAATGATTCCATTCGATTCCATTCCGTGATGATTCCATTCACTTCCATTTGATTTATTCCATTCGATTCCATTTGATGTTTCATTTTGATAACATTCGATGATGATTCCATTAGATTCCATGTGATGATGATTCCATTTGATTCCATGCGAATATGATTCCATGTGATACCATTTCATGATTGCATTTGATGCCATTCAATGATGATTCCATTTGATTCCATTCAATGATGATTCCAGTCGATTCCATTCGATTATGATTCCAATCGATTCCATTCTATGATTCCATTCGATTCCATTCGATGATTCCATTCACTTCCATTCAATGACGATTCCATGCGATTCCATTCGATCCTTCCATTTGATTCCATCTGATGATGATTCCATTCGATTTCATTCAATGATTCCATTTGATTCCATTTGATGATGATTCCATTCGATTCCATTCGATGACTCCATTCGATTCCATTTGAGGATTTCATTCCATTGCATTTGATGTTTATTCCATTCGATTCTTTTTGATGATTCCATTTGATTCCATTCGATGATGATTCCATTCAATTCCATTCGATGATGATTGCATTCGATTCCATTTGATGGTTTTTTCGATATCATTCGATGATGATTCCAGTCGATGATTCCATTTGATTACATTCGATGATGATTCCATTCTATTCCATTCGATTTATTCCATTCGATTCCATTCGATGATTCCTTTCAATACCATTCGATGATGATTCCATTCGATTCCATGTGATGATGATTCCATTTGATTCCATTCATTTATTCCATTCGATTCCATGTGATGTTGATTCTACTCGATTCCATTCGATGATTCCATTCAATTGCATTCGATGATAATTGCATTAATTCCATTTGATGATTCTTTTTGATTCCATGCGATGATGATTCCATTCAATTCCATTCGATGATGATTCCTGTGGATTCCATTCGATGATTCCTGTCGATTGCATTCAATGATGATTCATTTGATTCCATTCTATTAATCTATTTGATTAAATTGGAGGATTCCGTTCAATTCCATTCGATGAGGATTCCAATCAATTCCACTCAATGATTCCATTTGATTCCATTCGATGATGATTTCATTCGATTCCATTCAATAAATCCTTTCGATTCCATTCCATGATGATTCCATTTGATTCCATTCGATGATTTCATTCGATTCCATTGGAAGTTGATTTCATTCAATTCCATGTGATGATGATTCCATTCGATTCCATTGGATGACTCCATTAAATTCCATTCGATGATGATTCCATTCAATTCCATTCGATGATTTCATTTGATTGCAGTCTATGATTCCATTCGATTCCATTTGATGATTCCATTCAATTCCATGGGATGATTCCATTTGATGATGACACCATTTGATTCCATTCGGTGATTCCATTTTATTCCATTTGATAATTGCATTCAATGATTATTCCATTCTATTCCATATGGTGATTCCATTTGCTTCCATGTGATGATGTTTCCATTTGATTCCATTGCATGAATCTATTTGATTCCATTCGAAGATGATTCCATTTGATTCCTTTCAATGATTCCATTCGAGGATTTCATTCGATTCCATTGGATGTTTTTTCAATTAGATTCCTTTCAATGATTCCATTTGATTCCATGCAATGATGATTCCATTCGATTCCATTCGATGATTTTTTTCGATTTCATTCAATGATGATTCCATTTGATGATTCCATTTGATTCCATTCGATGATGATTCCATTTGGTTCCATTTGATTTATTCCATTCGATTCCATTCGATGGTTCATTTCAATACCACTCGATGATGATTCCATTTGATTCCATGTGATGATGATTCCATTCGATTCCATTCAATTATTCCATTTGATTCCATGCAATGATGATTCCATTCGATTCCGTGCGATGATTCCTTTCTATTCCATTCTAGGATTTCATTCGATTCCATGTGATGGTGATTCCATTTGATTCCATTCAATTATTCCATTTGATTCCATGCAATGATGATTCCATTCGATTCCGTGCGATGATTCCTTTCGATTCCATTCTAGGATTTCATTCGATCTCATTTGATGATTATTCCATTCGATTCCTTTTGAAGTTTCCATTCGATTCCTCTTGATGATGATTCCATTCGATTCCATTCTATGATGATTGCATTCAATTCAATTCAATGATTCTTTTTGATTTCATTCAATGATGATTCCATTCGATGACTCCATTCAATTCCATTCGAATATGATTCCATTCGAATATGATTCCATTCTATTCCATTCGAGTTATTCCTTTCAATTCCATTCTATGATTCCTTTTGATAACATTCAATGATGATTCCATTCGATTCCATGTGATGATGATTCCATACAATTCCATGTGATGATGATTCCATTCAAGTCCATTTGATAATTCCATTCAATTGCATGTGATGATGACTGAATTCAATTCCATTGGATGACTCCATTTGATTCCATTTGATGATTATTCCATTCGAATCCATTCAGTGATTCCATTCAGTTCCATTCGATGATTCCATTTGATTCCATCGGATGATTCCATTCGATGAAGACACCATTCGATACCATTCGATGATTCCATACGATTCCATTCGATGATTCCATTTGATAATTGTTAAATTCGATTCCACTTGTTGATTCCATTCGAATCCATTCGATGATGATTCCATTCAATTCCATTTGTTGATTCCATTTGGTTCCATTTGATGATGATTCCATTTGATTCCTTTTGATGATTCCAATTGATTCTATTCGATGATTCCACTCAATTCCATTCGATGATGATTCCATTCAATTCCATTCGATGATTCCACACGATTCCATTTGATGATGATTCCATTCGATTCCATTTGATTATGATTTCATTCAATTCCATTGGATGATTCCACTCGATTCCATTCGATGATGATTCCATTCGATTCCATTCAATGATCCTGTTCGATTCCATTCTATAATTCCGTTCAATTCCATTCGAGGATTCCATTCAATTCCGTTGAATGATTATTCAATTCCTTTCAATGATTCCATTCGATTCCATTCGATGTTGATTGCATTAGATTCCATTGGATGATGATTCCATTCAATGATTCCATTCCATTCCACTCAATGATTCCATTTGATTCCATTCGATGATTCTGTTCGATTCCATTGGATTGTTCCATTTGATTCCGTTCGATGATTCCATTCGATTCCATTCAATGACTATTCCATTCGATTCCTTTCAATGGTTCCATTCAATTTCATTCGATGATGATTCCTTTTGATTAAATTCGATGATGATTGCAATTGTCTTCATTCGATGATCTTTTTCAATTTCATTCATTGATGATTCTATTCAATGATTCAATTCAATTCCATTCGATGATGATTCCATTCGATTCCATTCAATTTATTCCATTCAATTCCATTCGACGTTTCCTTTCGATACCATTTCATGATGATTCCATTCGATTCCATGTGATGATGATTCCATTCGATTCCACGCGATAATGATTCCATTCGATTCCATTCCATGATTGCATTCAATTCCATTTTATGATGATTCCATTTGATTCCATCAGATTACTCCATTCAATTCCATTGGATGATTATTCCATTCGATTCCATTTGATGATTCCATTTGATTCCATTTTCTGATTCCGTTTGTTTTCATTGGATGATTCCATTCTAGGATGACACCATTCGATTCCATTTGATGATTCCACCCGATTCCATTAGATGTTTCCATTCAATGATTTTTCCATTCGATTCCATTGGATGATTCCATTTGATTCCATTCGATGATTCCATTTGACTCCATTCGATGATGATTCCATTCAATTTCATTTGATGATTCCATTCGATTCCATTCAATGTTTCCTTTTGATTCCATTCAATGATGATTCCAGTTGATTCCATTCGATGATGATTCCATTCGATTCCGTTCTATGATTCCATTTGATTCCATTTGATGATGAGTCCATTCGATTCCATTCAATGATTGCTTTCCATTCCATTTGAGGTTTTCATTCAATTCCATTTGATGAATGTTCCATTCGATTCCTTTCAATGACTCCATTCGATTCCATTCGATGACGATTCCATTCAATTCCATTCAATGATGATTCCATTCAATTCCATTCGATGATTCCATTAGATTCCATTCGATGACGATTCCATTCGATTCATTCGATGACTCCATTCGATTCCATTCAATGATTCCATTCGATTCCATTTGATGATTATTCCATTCAATTCCATTTGATGATTCCATTTGATTCCATGTGATGATGATTCCAATTGATTCCATTCCATGATTCCATTCGATTCCATTCATTGATGATTCCATTCGATTCCATTCGATGATGATTCCATTCGATTCCATGTGATGATTCCATTTGATTCCATTTTATTATTCCATCTGATTAAATGCGATGTTGAATCTACTCGATTCCTTTTGATGATTCCAATCAATTTCATTCGATGATGATTGCATTAATTCCATTTGATGATTCTTTTTGATTCCATTTGATGATGATTCCATTAGATTATTCCATTCGATTCCATTCCATAATGATTCCATTGGATTCCATTCGATGATTCATGTCTATTGCATTCGATGATGATTCATTCGATTCCATTTGATGATTCCATTCGATTAAATTGGAGGATTCCATTCGATTCCATTCGATGAGGATTCATTCGATTCCATTCAATGATTCCATTCTATTCCATTCCATGATGATTCCATTCGATTCCATTTGATCATTCCATTCAATTCCATTGGAAGTTGATTTCAGTCGAATACATTCGATGATGATTCCTTGGGATTCCAATAGATGATTATTACATTTGATTCCATTCGATGATGATTGCATTCAATTACATTAGATGATACTTTTTGATTTCATTCAATGATGATTCCATTCGATGATTCCATTCAATTCCATGCAATGATGATTCCATTCGATTCCATTCTATTTTTTCCTTTTGATTCCATTCTATGTTTCCTTTTGACACCATTTGATGATGATTCCATCCTATTCCATGTGATGGTGATTCCATTTGATTCCATTCGATGATGATTCCATTCATGTCCATTCGATGATTGCACTCGACTCCTTTTGATGATGATTCCACATGAGTCCGTTAGATGATTCCATTTGATTCCATTGGATGATGATTCCATTTGATGCCATTCAATGATTCCATTCGATTCCATTCAATGATACCATTCCATTCCATTCAATGATGATTCCTTTCCAGTCCATTCAATGATTGCATTCGATTCCATTCAATCATTGCATTCAAGACCATTCGACGATTCCATTCGATTCCATTCGATGATGATTCCAATCGATTCCATTCGATGATTCCTTTCGATTCCATTCGATAATTCCAATCGATTCCATTTGATGATTCCTTTCGAATCCATTCGATGATGAGTCCATTCGCTTCAATTCCATGATGATTCCATTCAATTCAATTCGATGTTGTTTCCATTTGATTCCATTTGATGTTGATTCCATTCGATTCCATTGGATGATGATTCCATTCGAGTCCATTCGATGATGATTCCATTCCATTTATTTTGATGATTCCATTCGATTCCATTCGATGATGATTCCATTCCATGAATCCATTCAATTCCATTCTATGATGATTCCATTCGTTTCCATCTGATGATTATTCCATTTGATTCCATTCAATGATACCATTCGATTCCATTTGATGATTATTCCAATCAATTCCATTCGATGATTCCATTCAAATCCATTCGATGATGAGTTCATCCATTTCAATTCCATGATGATTCCATTCCATTCAATTCAATGGTGTTTCCATTCGATTCCATTTGATGTTGATTCCATTCGATTCCATTGGATGATGATTCCATTCGAGTCCATTCGTTGATGATTCCATTCACGTCCATTTGATGATGATCACATTCGATTTCATTTGATAATTCTATTCGATTCCATTCGATGATGATTCCATCTGATTCCATTCAATGATTCCATTTGATTCCATTCGATGATTATTCCATTCGTTTCCATCTGATGATGATTCCTTTCAATTCCATTTGATGATTCCATTCGAGTAAATTCAATGTTTCCATTCGATACCATTTGATGATGATTCCATTCGAGTCCATTCCATGATTCCATTCGAGTCCATTCAATGATTCCATTCGAGTCCATTCCATGATTCCATTCGAGTCCATTCAATGATTCCATTCGATGAAGATTCCATTTGAGTCCATTCGATGATTCCATTTGATTCCATTTGATGACGATTACTTTCGAGTCCATTGGATGATTCCATTTGATTCCATTTGATGATGATTCCATTCGAGTCCATTCCATGATTCCTTTCAATTCCATTCGATGATGATTCCATTCGAGTCCATTTATTATTCCATTCCTTTCCATTTGATGATTCCATTCGAGTCCATTCGATGATTCTATTTGATTCCATTCGATAATTCCGTTCAATTCCATTTGATGTTGATTCCATTCGAGTCCATTTGATGATTATTCCATTCGATTCTATTCGATGATTCCATTCGATTCCATTTGATGATGATTCCATTCGAGACCATTCAATAATTCCATTGAATTCATTTGATAATGATTCTGTTCAATTCCATTCAATGATTCCATTAGATTCCATTTTGATGATGATTCCATTCAATTCCATTTGATGATGTTTCCATGCGATTCCATTCGATGATGACTCCTTTCGGTCCATTCGATGATGATTCCATTTGGTTGCATTCGATGATGATTCCCTTGTATTCCATTCGATGATGATTCCATTCGATTCCATTTGCTGATGATTCTTTTTGATTGCATTCAATGATGTTTCCATTCGATTCCATTCAATGATTCCATTCGTTCCCATTCAATGATGATTCCATTCGAGTTCATTGATTATTCCATTACATTCCATTTGATGATTGCATTCGAGTCCATTCATTGATTGCATTTGAGTCCATTCGATGATTCTATTCGATTCCATTCGATAATTCCGTTCGATTCCATTTGATGATGATTCCATTCGAGTCCATTCAATGATTATTCCATTCGATTTTATTCGGTGATTACATTCGATTCCATTTGATAATTATTCCTTTCGAGACCATTCAATGATTCCATTCAATTCATTCTGTGATGATTCCATTCAATTCCATTCGATGATTCCATTCGAGTCCATTTGATAATTCCATTCAAGTCCATTCAATGAAGATTCCGTTCGATTCCATTTGATGATGATTGCATTCGGGTCCGTTTGATGATTCCATTTGCTTCCATTCGATGGGGATTCCATTCGTTTCCATTCGATTATTCCATTCGATTCCATTCGATGAGGATTCCATTACTGTCTGTTAGATGATTCCATTCGATTCCATTCAATGATGATTCCATATGATTCCATTCATTAATTCCATTCCATTCCATTGGATGATGATTCCATTCATGTCCATTTGATGATTCTTTACAAATCCATTCGATTTTTGCTTTTGATTCCATTCCATGATGATTCCATTCGGTTCCATTTGATGATGATCCCATTCGATACCATTCTATGGTTCCATTTGATTCTATTCGATGATGATTCCATTCGATTCCATTGGATGATTCTATTTGATTCTGTTTGAGATGATTGCATTCTATTCCAATCGATGATTCAATTTGATTCCATTCGATGATGATTCCATTTGATTCCATTCAATGAGTCCATTCGATTCCATTCAATGATGATTCCATTTGATTCCATTTGATGACTCCATTCCATTCCATTCAATGATGATTCCATTCGATGTCATTCGATGATTCCATTCGATTCCATTTGATTATGATTCCATTCCAGTCTCTTCGATGATTCCATTAGATTCCATTTGATGATGATTCCATTCGAGTCCATTTGATGATTCCATTCGATTCCATTCAATGATGATTCCACTCGAGTCCATTCAATGATGATTCCACTCGAGTCCATTCGATGATTCCATTCGAGTCCATTTGATTATTCCTTTAGATTCCATTCATTCATTATTCTATTCAATGTCATTCGATGGTTCCATTTGATTCCATTCAATGATGATTCCATTTGAGTCCATTCGATGATTCCATTTGATTCCATTCAATGATGATTCCATTTGTGTCTATTCGATGATTCCATTCGATTCTATTCCATGATGATTACATTCGAGTCCATTCGATGATTCCTTTCTTTTCCATTCGATGGTGATTCTATTCGAATCCATTCGATGATTCCATTCGTTTCCATTCGATGATTCCATTCCGTTCCTTTTGATGATGATTCCATTGGATTCCATTCGTTGATGATTCCATTAGATTCCATTTGATTATGATTCCATTTGATTCCATTCAATGATGATTCCATTCGTTTTCATTTGATGATTCTATTCAATTCCATTAGATGATGATTCCTTTCTATTCCATTTGATGATTCCATTAGATTCCATCCGATGAGGATTCAAATCAATTCCGTTTGATGATGATTCCATTCAATTCCATTAAATGAAAATTCCATTCGTGTCCATTTGATTATTCCATTCATTTCCATTCGATGATGATTCCATTCGCATCCATTAGATGACTCCTTTCAATTCGATTCAATGATGATTCTATTTGATGCCATTTGATGATTCCATTTGATTCCATTCGATGATGATTCCATATGATTCCATTTGATGATTCCATTCGATTCCATTCTATTATGATTGCATTCGATTCCATTCGCTGATTCCATTTGATTCTATTTGATGATGATTTCATTCGAGTCCATTCGACATTTCCATTCCATTCCATTCGATGATGGTTCATTCGATTCCATTTGATGATTCTATTTGATTCCATTTGATGATTCCATTCGAGTCCATTCGATGATTTCTTTCTATTCCATTCGATGATTCACTTCGATTCCTTTAGATGATGATTCCATTCTATTCAATTCGATGATGATTCCATTCACTTCCATTCGATAATTCCATTCGATTCCATTAGATGATGATTCCATTCGATTCCATTTGTTGATTCCATTTGATTCCTTTGGATGATGATTCTTTTTGAATCCATTTGATGATTCCATGGGATTTCATTCAATGGTGACTCTATTCAATTCCATTCGATGATTCCATTCATTTCCATTCGATGATGATTGCATTGCATTCCATTCGATGATTCCATTCGATTCCATGTGATGATGATTCCATTCGAGTCCTTTCGATGATTCCATTCGGTTCCATTCCGTGAGGATTCCATTCGTGTCCATTCTATGACACAATTAGATTCCTTTCAATGAAGATTCCATTCCAGTTCATGAGATAATTCCATTCGATGATGATTTCATTTGATTCCTTTTGATTTTTCCATTCGATTTCATTCGATGATGTTTTTATTCGAGTCCATACGATGATTCCATTCGATTCCATTCAATGATTATTCCTTTCGAGTCCTTTCGAAGATTCCATTCAATGTCATTCGATTTTGATTCCATTCGTGTCCATTCGATGATTCCACTGGATTCCATTCGATGATTCCATTCGATTCCATTCGCTGATTCCTTTTGATTCCATTCGATGATCATTCCATTCAATTCCATTCAATGATTTCATTTGATTCCAATCGATGATGATTCCATTCAAGGCCATTTGATGATTCCATTTGATTCCATTCGATGGTGATTCCATCCAATGCCATTTGATGATTTCATTCGATTTCATTCAATGATGATTTCATTCTATTCCATTCGATGATTCTATTTGATTCCATTTGATGATGATTCCATTCGAGTCCATTCGATGATTCTATTCGATTCCATTCGATGATGACTGCATTCGAGTCTATTCAATGATTCCATTCGAATCCATTCGATGATGATTCCATTCGATGATTCCATTCAATTCCATTCTATGATGATTCCATTCGAGTCCATTTGATGTTTCCATTCGATTCCATTTGATGATTCCATTCGATTCCATTTGATGATGAGACCATTCGATTCAATTCCATGAGTATTCCATTCGATTCAATTTCGATGATATTTCCATTCGAGTCCATTCAATGATTCCATTCCATTCCATTAGACGATGGTTCCATTCGATGCCATTCGATGATTCCATTCAATTCCATTTGATGATGATTCCATTCGAGTCCATTCGATGATTCCATTCGATTCCATTTGATGATTATTCCATTCTATTCCATTCGATGATTCCATTCAATTCCATTCAATGATGATTCCATTCGAAGATTCCATTCCATTCCATTTGATGATGATTCCAGTCGAGTCCATTCGATGATTCCTTTTGATTCCATTCGATGATGATTCCATTCAAGTCAATTCAATGATTCCATTTGATGCCATTCAATGATGGTTTCTTTCAAGTCCACTCAATGATACCATTCGATTCCATTCAATGATGATTCCATTCGAGTGCATTCCATAATTCCATTCGTTTCTGTTCGATGATTGTTCCATTCAATTCCATTCCTTGATGAATCCTTTCCATTCCATTTGATGATGACTCCTTTCGATTGCATTTGTTGATGATGTCATTCAATTCCATTCAATGATGATGACTCCATTCAATTCCATTAGATGATGATTCCTTTCAATGATTATTCCATTCAATTCCATTCCATGATTATTCCTTTCAATTCATTTCAATGATGATTCCATTCAATTCCATACGATGATGATTCCACTCAAGTCCATTTAATGATTCCATTCGAATGCATTCAATCATTCCATTAGAGTCCATTCAAAGATTCCATTAGTTTCCATTAGATGATGATATCATTTGAGTCCATTCCATGATTCCATTCGATTCCATTTGATGATTCCATTCAAGTCCATTCAATGATTCCATTTGATTCCACTCGATGATGATTCTGTTCAATTCCATTCGATGATCATTCCATTCGATGCCATTTGATGATGATTCCATTCATCTCCATTTGATGATTATTCCATTTGAGTTCATTCGATGAGTCCACTCGATGATGATTCCATTCGTTTCCGTTCGATGGTGACTCCGTTCGATTCCATGTGGTGATGACTCCTTCCAATTCCATTCTATGATTCCATTTGATTCCATTCGATGATGATTCCATTCGAGTCCATTTGATGATTTCATTTGATTCCATTCTATTATTCAATTCGATTCCATTCGATGATGATTCCATTCGATTCCATTAGATGATAATTAGATTTGATTACTTTCGATGATTTTATTCGATTCCATTCGATGATTCATTTCGAGCCCATTTGATGATTCCATTCAATTCCATTCGATGATACCATATGATTCCATTTGATGATGATTCCATTAGAGTCAAATTGATGATGATTCCATTCGTTTCCATTTGACGATTCCATTCGATTCCATTCAATGTTTCACTTCGATACCATGTGATGATGATTCCATTCGATTCCATTTGATGACTCCATTCAGTTACATTCGATGACGATTCCATTCGAATCCATTCGATGATGATTCCTTTAGTTTCCTTTCGATGATTCCATTTGATTCCATTAATTGATGATTCCATTCGATTCCATTTGATGATGATTCTATTGGATTCCATTCGATGATGATTCCATTCGATTCCATTCGATGATTCCTTTTGATTCCATTTGATGATTCACTTCGATTCCTTTTGATGATGATTCCATTCGATGATTCCAATCGATTGTATTCGATGATCATTCCATTCTATTCCATTCAATGATGATTCCATTCGAGTCCATTCGAAGATTCCATTTGATTTTATTTGATGATGATTCCATTCGATACCATTCTATGATCCCAATCGATTCCATTCAATGATGATTCCATTCGATTCCATTTGATGATTCCATTAGATTCTATTCAATGATGATTCCATTAGATTCCATTTGATAATTCCATTCGATTCCATTTGATGATGATTCCATTCATTTCCGTTTGATGATTCTATTCGATTTCATTCAATGATTTTTCCATTAGAGTCCATTCAATGATTACATTCGATTCCATTCGATGATGATTCCATTCGAGTCTATTCCATTCCATTCCATTCCATTCGAGTCCATTTCATTCCACTACATTCCATATCATTCGAGTTCATTCCGTTCCGTTACATTCCATTCCATTCGTGTCCATTCAATACCATTCCATTCCAATAGATTCCATTCCACTACATTGCTTTTGAGTCCATTCCATTCCATTCGAGCCCATTCCATTCCATTGCATTCGAGTCCATTCCATTACATGCTATTCCATTTGAGTCCATTCCATTCCATTCTATTTTAGCACAATCCATTCCATTCCATTCAATTCGAGTCTATTCCATTCCAATCCATTCCATTCGGGTCCAATCCATTCAATTCCACTCGAGTCAATTCCATTGCACTGCATTCCATTCGAATCCATTCCATTCCATTCGTTTTGAGTCCATTCAATTCGATTCGAGTGCATTCCATTCCATTCCGTTCCATTGGAGTCCATTCCATTGCATTCCATTCCATTCAAGTCTATTCCATTCTATTCCATTCGAGTCCATTCCTTTCAATTCCATTAGAGTCCATTCTATTAAATTCCGTTGTATTCCATTCGAGTCCATTCCATTCCATTCCCTTCCATTTGTGTCCATTCCATTCCATTCGAGTCCATTCCACTCGAGTCCATTCCATACCATTACATTCTGTTCGACTCGAATCCATTCAATTCCATTCCATTCCATTCAAATCCATTCCACTCCATTCCATTCGAGTGCCTTCTACTCTATTCCTTTCCACTCGAATCCTTTCCATTCCATTCTAGTCCATTCCATTCTGGTCAATTCCTTTCCATTCCATTCCATTCTATAACAGTCCATTCCATTCCATTCTATAACAATCCATTCCATTCCATTCCATTCCATTCCATTCCATTCCATTCCATTCCAGTCCATTGCATTCCATTCCACTTGAGTCCATTCCATTCCATTCCATTAGAGACCATTCCATTCCAATCCAATCTATTCGAGTCCATTCCATTACATTCGAGTCCATTCCAATCCATTTCGTTTGAGTCCCTTCCATTCAATTCCATTCATTTCCACTCGAGTCCATTCCCGTCCATTCCATTCCATTCCATTCTATTTCATTCAAGTCCATTCCATTCCGTACTTTTCCATTCCATTCCAGTCCATTCCAATCCATTGCATTCCATTCCAATCGGTTCCATTCCATTTCATTCTATTTGAGTCCATTCCATTCCATTCCACTCCATTCGAGTCCATTCCATTCCATTCCACTCCATTCGAGTCCATTCAATTCCATTCCATTCCATTCCATTCCATTCCACTCCATTCAATTCCTCTCCATTCCATTCCATTCCATTTCATTCCATTCCATTCCGTTCCATTAATTTCAGATCCATTCCATTCCATTCCATTCAAGTCCACTCCATTCCATTTGATTCGTGTCTATTCCATTACATTGCATGCCATTCGAGTTCATTCCTCTGCATTCCATTTCATTCGAGTCTTTTCCATTGCATTCCATTCCATTCCACTCCAATCTATTCCATTCCATTCCATTCCATTCGAGTCCATTCCAGTTCATTCAAGTCCATTGCATCCATTCCATTTCATTCGAGTCCACTTCATTCCATTAAGTTCCATTCCATTCCATTCCATTCCATTCCATTCCATTCCATTCCTTTCCATTCTTCTCGGGTCCATTCAATTCAAATGCATTCCATTCGATTCCATAACCTTCCATTCCATTCCATTCCGTTCCATTCCCTTCCATTCCATCTGAATCCATTCCATTCCATTCCATTCCATCGAGTCCATTTCATTCCATTACTTTCCATTCCTTTCGAGTTCATTCCATTCCATTCCATTCCATTAAATTCGAGTCAATTCAATTCCGTTCCATTCCATTAGAGTCCATTCCACTCCATTCCGTTCGAGTCCATTCCATTCCATTGGAGTCCATTCCATTCCAATGCATTCGAGTCCATTCCATTCCATGCTATTCCATTTAAGTCCATTCCATTGCATTCGAGGCCATTCCATTCCATGCTATTCCATTTGAGTCCATTCCATTCCATTCCATTTGAATCCATTCCATTCCATTCGAGCCCAAACCATTCCATTCCATTCAATTTGAGTCCATTCCATTCCAATCCATACCACTCGGGTTCACTCCATTCAAATCCTTTCGAGTCAATACCATTCCATTCCATTCGAGTCCATTCCACTGCATTCCATTCCATTCGAGTCCATTCCATTCCATTCTATTCTAGTCCATTCCATTCCATTCGAGTCCATTCCATTCCATTCTATTCTAGTCCATTCCATTCCATTCCATTCCCTTCGAGTCCATTCAATTCCAATGGATTCCATTCCATTCCGTTGCATTCCATTCCATCTGAGTCTATTCCATTCTATTACATTGAAGTCCATTCCATTCCATTCCATTAGAGGCCATTACATTAAATTCCATTGTATTCCATTCGAGTGCATTCCATTCCATTCCGTTCCATTTGTGACCATTCCATTCGATTGGAGTCCATTCCGTTCGAGTCCTTTCCATACCATTACATTCCTTTTGACTCAAATCCATTCCAGTCCATTCGATTCGAGTCCATTCCATTCTTTTCCATTTTGTACCATTCGAGTCCATTCCATTCCATTCCAGTCCATTCCATTCTATTCCATTTTATACCATTCTAGTCCATTCCATTCCATTCTATTCGAGTCCATTCAATTTCGTTCGAGTCCATTCCATTCCATTCCATTCCATTCCATTCTAATCCATTCCATTCCATTCCATTCCATTCCATTCCATTCCATTCCATTCGGGTCCATTACATTTCATGCCATTCGAGTCCATTCCATTCCATTCCACTCCATTCTGGTACATTCCATTCAATTCCATTCCATTCGAGTCCATTTCTTTCATTCCATTCCATCCAATTCGGGTCCATTCCATTGCATTCCATTCAAGTGCATTCTATTCCATTCCACTCCATTCTAGTACATTCCATTCCATTCGAGTTATTTCCATTCCATTCCATTCTATTCGAGACCATTCCATTCCATTAGAGTCCATTCCACTCCATTCCATTCGAGTCCATTCCATTCAATTCCATTCCATTCCTTCAATCCATTCCATTCCATTCCAGTCCAGTCCATTCCATTCCATTCCCTTCAATTCTATTCCATTTATTTCCTTTCCATTCCATTCCAAGCTATTCCATTCCATTACATTACATTCGAGTCAATTCCATTACATTCCATTCTATTTGAGTCCGTTCCATTCCATTCCACTCCATTCCAGTCCTTTCCATTCCATTCCATTCCATTCCCTTCCATTCCATTCCATTCCATTCCAGTCCATTCCATTCCATTGGAGTCCATTTCATTCGTTTCCATTCGATTTCATTCCATTCAATTCCATTCCATTCCATTCAATTCGAATCCATTCAGTTCCATTCCATTACATTCGAGTCCATTGCATTCCATTCCAATCCATTAAATTCATGTCCATTACTTTCTGTTACATTCGATTCAATTCCATTCCATGCCATTCAAGTGCATTCCATCCAATGTCATTCAATTCCACTCGAGTGATTCCATTCCATTACACTCCATTCGAGTCCATTCCATTCGAGGCCACTCTATTCCATTCCATTCGAGGCCATTCCAATCCATTCCATTCCTTTCAAGTCCATTTCATTCCATTCCATTCTACTCCTTTCCATTAAATTGCCATCCATACCATTCCATTCTGTTCCATTCCATTCCACTATATTACATTCCTTTCCATCCCATTCCATTCCATTCCCTTCCATTCCAATTCATTCCATTCCATTCCTTTCAAGTCCATTTCATTCCATTACTTTCAATTCCATTTGAGTCCATTTCTTTCATTTTCATTCCATTCCATTCATGTCCATTCCATTTGAGACAATTCCATTCCATTCACGTCAATTCCATTCCATTCATGTACATTAAATTGCATTCCATTCCATTCCATTAGAGTCCATTACATTGCATTCCATTCTAAACCTTTCCATTCCATATCATTCCATTACATTTGAGTCCATTCAATTCCATTCCATTATAGTCCAATCCTTTCCATTCCTTTGGAGTACATTCCATTCCATTTCATTCGAGTCCATTCCATTCTATTACATTCATGTCCATTCCATTCCATTGCATTACATACCATTCCAATCCTTTCCATTCCGTTCCATTCCATTGCATTCCATTGCATTCGTATCCTTTCCAATCCATTTGATTCGATTCGATTCCATTCCATTCTATTCCATTCAAGTCCATTCCTTTCCATAGCTTACCATTCCATTTCATTCCTTTCCATTCCATTCATTTCCATTCCATTCGATTACATTCCATTCGTGTCAGTTCCATTCCATTCCATTCGAGTCCATTCCATTCCATTCTATTCGATTTGAGTCCTTTCCATTCTGTTCCATTCGAGTCCATTCGATTGCACTCCATTACATTACATTCCATTCGAGTGCATTCCAATCCATTCCATTCCATTCGAGTCCATTCCATTCCAATCCATTCCTTTCGGTTCCATTCCATTCAATTCTGTTAGAATCAATTCCATTCCATTCCTTTCGAGTCCATTCCATTGCATTCCATTCCATTCCTTTAGAGACCATTCAATTCCATTAAATTCCATTCGAGTCCTTTCCATTGCATTCCATTCCATTGGTGACCATTCCATTCTATTCCATTCGTGTCCATTCCATTCCATTCCATTCCATTATAGCCCATTCGATTCCATTCCATTAGAGTCCATTCCATTCCATTAAATTCCACTGTATTCCATTTGAGTCCATTCTATTCCCTTCCATTCAATTCGTGTCCATTCAAGTCCATTCCATTCCATTCCTTTCAAGTCCATTGCATTCTATTCCATTCAATTCCATTCCATTCCACATCATTCCATTCCATTCCAGTACATTCCATTCCAGTCGGGTCCATTCCATTCGAGTCCATTCCATTAGATTCCATTCCATTCCACTCCAGTCCATTATATTCAATTCCATTCGACTCCTTTCCATTCCATTCCAATCCTTTCAGGTCCATTCCATTCCATTCCATTCGAGTCCATTTCTTTCCGTTCCTTTACATTCGTGTCCATTCCATTCCATTCCATTCCAGACACTTCATTTCAATTCCATTCCATTCCTTTCGAATCCATTCCATTCCATCCTAGTCCATTCCATTCCATTCCATTCAATACCATACCATTCCATTCCTTTTGAGTCTATTCGATTCCATTCCATTACATTCCATTCGTGTCCATTCCATTCCATTTCATTCGAATGCATTCCATTCCATTCAATTCCATTCGACTCCATTTCATTCCACTCATTCCATTCCATTCTAGTCCATTCCATAACATTTCATTCCGTTCAATTCAAGTCCATTCAATTCCATTACATTTCATTTGATTCCATTCCACTCCATGCCACTCGAGTCCATTCCATTCTAGTCCATTCCATTCCATTCCATTCCATTCGGGTCCATTCCTTTCCATTCCATTCGAGTCCATTCCATTGCATTCGTGTCCATTTCATTCGAGTCCATACAATTCTACTCCATTCCATTTGATTCCATTCCATTCCAGTACATTCCATTCCATTCCGTTCTATTCCATTTGAGTCCAATCCATTCCATTCCATTCCATTCGAGTCCATTCCATTCCATTCGAGTTCATGCCATTTCTTTATGTTCCAGACAATTCCATTCCATTCGATACCATTTGAGTCCTTTCCATTCCATGCCATTCGAGTCCATTCCTTTCTAACCAATTTCATTGGAATACATTCCATTCCATTCCGTTCGCATCTGTACTATTCCATTCCATTCCATTCGAGCCCATTCCACTACTTTCCATTCCATTTGAGTCCATTCCATTCCATTCCATTCCATTCCATTTGAGTCCATTCCATTCCATTCCATTCCATTTCATTCGAGTAAATTCCTACCCATTTCATTCCGTTCGAGTCGATTCCATTCCATTTGAGTCAATTCCATTCCATTCGAGTCCACAGCATTCCATTCCATTCGAGTCTATTCCATTCCATTCCATTCCTGTCCATTCCTTTCAAGTCAATTCAGTTCAACTGCAATCCGTTTGAGTCCATTCCATTTAAATTCCATTCCATTCCATTCCATACCATTCCTTTCGTTTCCATTCCATTCGATTCCGTTTCATTCCATTACATTCCATTCCATTCGACTCCATTCTCTTCCTCTACATTCCATTCAATTCGAGTACATTCCATTCCATACCATTCCATTCGATTCCATTCCATTCCATTTGATTCCATTCCATTCCACTGCATTCGAGTCCATTCCATTCCATGCTATTCCTTTTGAGTCATTTCCATTCCATTCCATTCGAGACCATTCCTTCCCAACCCATTCCACTCGAGTCCATTCAATTCCATTCCATTCCATTCCGAACCTGTCCATTCCATTCCATTGAATTCTATTCGATTCCATTCCATTGCATTAGGCTCCAATCCATTCAATTCCATTCGAGTCAATTCCATTCAATTCCATTTGAGTCAATTCCATCACATTCCATTCCAATCATTTCGAGTCCATTGAATTCCATTACATTCTATTCGAATCCATTCCATTCCCTTCCATTCGAGTCATTTCCATTGCAATACATTCCATTCGAGTCCATTCCTTTTTATTCCATTTGAGTCCACTCCATTCCATTCCATTAGATTCCATTCCATTCAATTCCGCTGTATTCCATTCGAATACATTCCATTCCATTCCATTCAATTAGATTCCATTCGAGTCCATTCCATTCCATTCAACTCCATTCGCGTCCATTCCATTCCATTCCATTCAAGTCCATTCCACTCCATTGCATTTCATTTGAGACCATTCCATTACATTACATTCCATTCCAACCGAGTCCACTCAATTCCATTCCATTCGAGTCTATTCCACTCCATTCCATTCGAGTCCATTCCATTCCACACCATTCCATTCGAGTCCATTCCACTCTATTCCGTTTGAGTCCATTCCATTCCATTCCATTTCTGTCCTTTCCATTGCATTCCATTACATTCGAGTCAATTCCATTGTACTCCATTCGAGTCCATTTCATTCAATTCCATTAGATTCCATTCCATTAGTGTCCATTCCATTAAATTCCATTCCATTCCATTCGAGTCCATTCCATTCCATTCGAGTCCATTCAATTCCATTCCTTTCTAGTCCCTTCCATTCTAATCCATTCCATTCTATTCCATTCAAGTCCATTCCATTCTGCTTCATTCCATTCCATTCCAGTTCTTCCCATTCAATTCCATTCCATTCCATTCCATTTCAGTCCATTCCATTGCATTCCATTCCATTAGAGTCCATTCCATTAAATTCCATTCCATTCCATTCGAGACCATTCCATTCCATTCAAGCCCATTCCATTCAATTCCCTTCGAGTCCCTTCCATTCCATTCCTTTCCTTTCTATTCCATTCAAGTCCATCGCATTCTGCTTGATTCCACTCCTTTCAAGTCCTTTCCATTCCATTCGGGTCCATTTCATTCCATTACATTCCATTCCATTCGAGTCCATTCCTTTGCATTCAAGGCCATTCCATTCAAGTCCATTCCATTCCACTCCATTCCATTCAATTCCTTTCCATTCCTTTTGAGCCCATTCCGTTCCATTCGATTCCATTCCATTGCATTCCATTCCAGTCCATTCCCTTCCATTCTATTCCATTTGAGTCCCTTCCATTCCTTTCCATTCTAGTCCGTTCCATCCCATTCCATTCCATTCCATTGCTTTCCATTCCAGTCCATTACATTCCATTCCATTCGAGTCCATTCCATGACATTCAAGGCCATTCTATCCCATTCCATTCCATTCCATTGCTTTCCATTCCAGTCCATTACATTCCATTCCATTCGAGTCCATTCCATGACATTCAAGGCCATTCCATCCCATTCCATTCCATTCCTTGCATTCCATTCCAGTCCATGCCATTCCATTCCATTCGAGTCCATTCCCTTCCATTCCATTCCATTGCATTCCCTTCCAGCCCATACCATTGCATTCTCTTCCATTTGAATCCATTCAATTCACTTCCATTTGCGTCCATTGCATTCCTTTCCATTCGAATCCACTCCATTCACCCATTTCATTCGAGTCAATTCCTTTTAATTCCGTTCGAATTCATTCCATCCAATTCCATTCCATTCGTGCACATGCCACTGCATTCCATTCTATTTGAGTCCATTGAATTCATTCCATTTCATTTGTGTCCATTCCATTCAATTTCATTCGAGTCAATTCCATTCCACTGCATTTGAGTCCATTCCATTGCATTCCATTCCATTCGAGTCCATTCCATTCCATTCCATTTGAGTCCATTCCATTGCATTCCATTCCATTCGAGTCCCTTCCATTCCGTTCCATTTGATTCCATTCCATTGCATTCCATTACATGCTTTTCGAGTACATTCAATTCCATTCCATTCCGTTCCATTCAAGTGCATTCCACTCTATTCCATTAGAGTCCATTCCATTCAATTCCATTAGAGTCCATTCCATTGAATTCCATTGTATTCCATTCGAGTACATTCCATTCCATTCCATTCCGTTTGTGTCCATTCCATTCCATTCGTGTCCGTTCCTTTCAATTCCTTTTGATTCCATTCCATTCCATTCTATTCCATTCAAGTCCATTCCATTCCACATCTTTCCATTCCATTCCGTTCCATTCCATTCCATTCCGTTCCGTTCCATTCGGGTCCATTCCTTTCCATTCAATTCGAGTCCATTCCATTCCAGTCCACTCTAGTTTCCATTCCATTCCATTCCTTTCGAGTCCATTCCATTCCATTCAAGTCCATGCCATTCCATTAAATTCGAGACCATTCCATTCCATTCAATTTCATTCCTTTCGAGTCCATTCAATTCCATTCAATTCCATTCGAGTCCATTCCATTCTATTCTATTCCATTAAATTCCATTCCATTCCATTCAGGTCCATTACATGCCATGCAAATCCATTCGACTCCATTTCATTCCGTTCCACTCTAGTCCACTCCATAACATTACATTCCGTTCGATTCAAGTCCATTCCATTCCATTCCATTCCCTTTGTGTCCATTCCATTCCATTCGAGTCCATTACATTACATTCCATTCGATTCCATTCCCTTCCATTCTATTCCATTTTATTCGAGTCCATTCATTTGTATTCCATTCGAGTCTATTCCATTCCATTCCGTTCGAGTCCATCCATTCCATTCCTTTCCATTCCAGTCCATTCAATTCCTTCCCTTCAAGTCCTTTCCATTTCACTCCATTCCAATCTATCAGAGTCCATTCAAATAAATTTCATTCCACTCTAGTCCATTCGATTCCATTCCATTCCATTCAGGTCCATTCTATTCTATTCTCTTCGGGTGAGTTCCTTTCCTTTCCTTTCAATCCCTTTGCATTGCATTCCATACCATTCCTTTTGAGATCATTCAATTCCATTCCATTTGATTCTAGCACATTCCATTCCATTTAATTCGAGTCCATTCGTTTCCATTACATTCCATTCGGGTCCATTCCATTCTATTCCCTTCCAGTCAATTCTATTCCATTCCATTCGCGTCCATTGCATGGCATTCCACTCCATTCTTTTTGAGACAATTCAATTCCTTTCCATTCCATTCAAATCCATGACATTCCATTCCTTTCAAGTCTATTCCATTGCATTCCATTCTATTAGAGTCCATTCCATTCTATTCAGTTAGTGTCCATTCCATTCGATTCCATTAGATTCCATTCCATTAGAGTCCATTCAATTAAATTCCATTCCATTCCATTCGAGTCCATTGCATTCCATTCGAGTCAATTCCATTGCATTCCCTTCGAGTCCATTCCATTGCATTCCCTTCGAGTCCATTCCATTCCATTCCATACTCTCTCATTCAAGTCCATTCCATTCCTTTCCATTCCAGTACATTCCATTCCATTCCATTCCAGTACATTCCAATCTGGTCCGTTCCATTCCATTCTATTCGAGTCCATTCCATTCCATTCGAGTCCCTTCCATTCCATACCATTATAGTCCATTCCATTCCACAAAATTCCTTTTGATTCCATTCCATTCTATTCCATTCAAGTCCATTCCATTCGATTCCCTTCGAGTCCATTCCATTCCATTCCATACTATTTCATTCAAGTCCATTCCACTCCATTTCATTCCATTCCATTCCATTCCATTCCAATCCATTCCATTCAATTCCATTCCATTCTTGTGCATTCCTTTCCATTCCATTCAAGTCCATTCCATTGCATTCATGTCCATTTCATTCAAGACCATTCCATTCCACCCCATTCCATTCG
The DNA here is from genome assembly GCF_000001405.40 of Homo sapiens. Taxonomy (NCBI): domain Eukaryota; kingdom Metazoa; phylum Chordata; class Mammalia; order Primates; family Hominidae; genus Homo; species Homo sapiens. The sequence goes on along the minus strand of NW_021160000.1, from coordinate 245,014 downwards.
ATTGCATTCCTTTCTATTCCATTCGAGTCCATTCCATTCCATTCTACTTCATTCCATTCTATTCCGTTTTATTCCTTTCGGGTCCATTCCTTTCCGTTCCATTCAAGTCCATTACATTCCATTCACGTCCATTCCACTTCATTCCATTCCAGTCCATTCCATTCCATTTGATACCATTTGAGTCCATTCCATTCCATTCCATTCGAGCCATTCCATTCCAACACATTTCATTCGAGTACATTCCATTCCATTCCGTTCGAATCCCTTCTATTCTATTCCAATCCATTCGAGTCCATTCCACTCCATTCAATTCCATTCGAGTCCCTTCCATTCCATTCCATTGCAGTCCATTACATTCTATTCCATTCAACTCCTTTCCATTCCATTCCATTCCATTCCATTCCTTTCAAGTCACTTCCATTCTATTCCATTCAAGTCCATTCCATTCCTTTCCATTCCATTCCATTACGTTACATTCGTGTCCATTTCATTCCATTCAATTCCACTCAAGTCCATTCCATTCCTTTCCATTCCATTCCATTACGTTACATTCGTGTCCATTTCATTCCATTCCATTCCACTCACGTCGTTTCAATTCCATTCCATTCCTTTCGAGGCCATTCCATTCCAACCGAGTTTATTCCATTCCATTCCATTCCATTCGAGACCATACCATTCCATTCCTTTACAATCCTATCGAGTCCTGTCGATTCCATACCATTCCACTTGAGTCCATTCCATTGCATTCTATTCCATTCCATTCCATCCCATTCCATTCCACTTGAGTCCATTCCATTCCAATCTATTCTATTAGAGTTGACTCCATTCCATTCCATTAGAGTCCATTCCATTCCATTCCATTCGAGTACATTCCACTACATACCAATCCATTCGAGTCCATTCCATTCCATTCCATTACATTCCATTTGAGTCCATTCCACTGCATTCCAATCCTTTCATGTCCATTCCATTGCATTCCATTCAATTCCATTGCATTCCATTCAATTCCATTTCTTTCGAGTACATTCAATACAATTCCATTCCGTTTGAGTGCATTTCATTCAATTCCATTGCATTCCATTCAATTCCATTTCTTTCGAGTCCATTCAATACCATTCCATTCCGTTTGTGTCCATTCCATTTCATTCCATTCCCTTCCATATCATTCAATTCCATTCCATTCCAGTCCATTCCATTCCATTCCATTCCATTCCATTCGAGTCCGTTTCATTTGATTCCATGACATTACATTCAGATCCATTCCATTCGAGTATATGCCATTCCATTCCATTCTGTTCAAGTCTATTCTTTCCATTCTTTCTATTCCATTCGAGTCCATTCCATTCCATTCCATTCGAATCCGTTCCATTCCATTCAATTCCTTTTGAGGACATTCCATTCCATTCCATTCCATTCCTTTCAATTACATTCCATTCCATTCCAACTCATTCGGTTCTGGTCCATTCGATTCCATTCCATTCTAGTCCATTTCTTAGAATCTATTCCATTCCAATCGAGATCACTCAATTCCATAACATTGGAGCCCACTTCATTAGAATATCTTCCATTCCAATCGAGTCCATTCAATTCCATTCCATTCAAGTCCATTCCACTGCATTCCATATGAGTCCATTCCATTCGACTACTTTCCACTGGAGACCATTACATTCTATTACATTCTAGTCCATGACATTCAATTATTTTCTACTCAATTGCATTCCAATCCATTTGAGTCCATTTGATTGCATTCCATTCCATTCGAGTCCATTCCATTCCATTCCATTCAAGTCCATTGAATTCCATTAGATTCCCTTCCATTAGAGTCCATTCTATTACATTCCATCCCCTTCCTTTCGAGTCCATTCCATTCCATTCGTGTCCATTCCATTCCATTCCCTTCTAGTCCTTTCCATTCCATTCCATTCTATTCCATTTTAAGTCCAGTCCATTACATTTCATTCCATTCCATTCCATTCCTTTCTATTCCATTCTATTCTATTCCATTCCATTCCATTCCATTCATTTCCATTCGAATAAATTCCATTCCATTACCTTCCATTCCATTCGAGTACATTCCATTCTGTTACATTCCATTCCATGCGAGTCCATTCATTTCCATTCCTTTCTATTCGTTTCCATTGCACTCCATTCCATTCGAATCCATTCCATTCCACGCCAGTCCATGCGAGTCCATTCTCTTCTATTACATGTGAATCTGTTCCATCCCATTCCATTCCATTCGAGTCCATTCTATTTCTTTCCATTCGAGCCCATTCCGCTCCATTCCATTCGAGTCCAATCCATTCCCTTCCATTCCATTCCATTCCATTGAATGCCTTTGCATTCCATTCAATTCGATTCCTTTCGAGTCCATTCCATTCCATTGAATTCCATTCAATTCCATTCCTTTTGAGTCCATTCAATTCCATTCCATTCCGTTTCAGTCCATTCCATACCATTCCTTTTCATTCCACACCATTCCATTGCATTCCATTCCATCCCAGTCCATTCCATTCCATTCCATTCTGTTCGAGTCGATTCCATTTGATTCCATGGCATACATTCGGGTCCATTCCATTCAACTCCATTCCATTTCATTCCACGCCGTTACATTCTTGTCCATTCCAGTCCACTCCTTTGGATTCTATGCCATTCCATTCCATTCCATTCAAGTCCATTCCTTTCCATTCCTTTCTATTCAATTCGAATCCATTCCATTCCAATCCATTGGAGTCTGTTCCATTCCACTCCATTCCATTGCAGTACATTCTATTCCATTTCATTCCATTCCATTCCATTCGAGTCCGTTCCATTCCATTCCAATTCATTCTGTTCTGTTCCATTCCATTCCATTCCATTCTAGTCCATTTCATTCCAATCCATTCCATTCCGGAAGAGTCCATTCAATTCCAATCCATTCGAGTCCATAACACTCCATTCCATTAAAGTCCATTCCATTCAACACCATTCCATTCGAGTCCATCACATTCTATTCCATTCGTGTCCATTCCTTTCAATTCCTTTCTACTCAAGTCCATTCCATTCCATTCCATTCGAGTCCATTCCATTGTGTTCCATTCCAATCGAGTCAATTCCGTTCCATTCAATTCCATTCGATTCCATTACATTGGAATCCATTCCATTAGGGTCCATACTATTACATTACATGCCCTTCCTTTCTAGTCCATTCCATTCCATTCGAGTCCATTTCATTCCATTCCCTTCGAATCCATTCCTTTCCATTCCATTCCATTCCACTCCATTCTATGTCATTCAAGGCCATTCTATTCCATTTCATTCCATTCCATTCCAGTCGATTCCACTCCATTCCATTCCATTCCATTCTATTCCATGCCATTCAATGCCATTCGATTCCATTCCATTTCATTCCATTCCATTCCTTTCCATTCGCATAAATTACATTCCATTACCTTCCATTCCATTCGATTACATTCCATTCCGTTACATTCAATTCCATTCGAGTCCATTCATTTCCATTCCATCTATTCGTTTCCCATGCACTCCATTCCATTCGAGTCCATTCCATTTCTCTCCATTCCATTAGAGTCCATTCTCTTCTATTACATTTAAATCTGTTCCATCCTATTCCATTCCATTCGAGTCCATTCCATTCCATTTCATTCGAGTCCATTGCATTCCATTCTATACCATTTGGTTACATTCCATCCCTTTCCAGTCGAGTCCATTCCATTCCAACACATTTCATTCAAGTACATTGCATTCCATTCCATTCGAATCCATACCATTCCATTCGATTTGATTCCATTCCATTCCATTTGATTCCATTCCATTGCATTCCATTCCATGCCATTCAGGTCCAATCCATTCAATTCCATTCGAGTCAATTCCATTCCAATCCATTCGAGTCCATTCCATTGCTTGCATCCAATCCTTCGAGTCGATTCAATTCCATTTCATCCATTCGCATCATTCCATTCCATTCAGTTCGAGTCCATTCAATTTCATTCATTCATTTGAGTAAAGTCCATTTATTCCATTCAAGTCCACAACATTACATTCCATTAGAGTCCATTTCATTCAATTCTGTTGTATTTCATTTGAGTCCATTCCATTCCATTCCATTCCATTTGAGTCCTTTCCATTCCATTTCATTCCATTCGTGACCATTCCATTCCATTGCATTCGAATAGGTTCCATTCCATTTCATTCCATTCGAGTCCACTGCATTCCATTCCATTCCTTTCTGGTCCTATCCATTCCCTTCCATTTCTGTCCATTCCAAACCATTTCATTCCATTCCATTCCATTCCATCCGAGACCATTCGATTCCTTTCCATTCCATTCGAATCCAATTTATTCCACTACATTCCATACAAATCATGTCCCTTCAGTTCCATTCCATTTGAGTCTATTCCACTCCATTCCATTCGTGTCCTTCCGTTCCACACCATTCCACTGGAGTCCATCCATTTGTTCCATTCGTGTCCATTCCATTCAATTCCATTCAAGTCAATTCTATGCCATTCCTTTCCAGTCCATTCCATTGCATTCCATAGCATTTGATTCCAATCCATTCCATTCCATTCGAGTCCATTCCATTCCACTCCATTAGATTCCATCCCATTGGGTCCATTCTATTAAATTCCATTCCCTTCCATTCGAGTCCATTCCATTCCATTCGAGACCATTCCATTCCATTCCCTTTGATTTCATACCATTCCATTCCATTCTATTCCATTCAAGACAGTTCCATTCCATTTCATTCCATTCCATTCCAGTCCATTCTATTCCTTTCCATTCCATTCCGTTTGATTCCATTCCTTTCCATTACCTTCCATTCCATTCCAGTACATTCCATTCTATTACATTTGAGTCCATTGCATTCCATTCCATTTCATTCGAGTGCATCCCATTCGATTCCATTCGAGTCCAATTCATTCGATTACATTTGAATCCATTCCATTCCTTTCCATTCCATCCGAGTCCATTCCATTCCATTCGAGTCCATTACATTCTATTACCTTTGGATCCGTTCCATTCCATTCCATTCCCTTCGAGTCCATTAAATTCGTGTATAGTCCTTTTTATTCCATTGGAGTCCACAACATTCCGTTACATTAGAGTCCATTCGATTAAATTCCGTTGTATTTCATTCGAGTCCTTTCCATTCCATTCCATTCCATCCGTGACCATTCCATTCCAGTCCATTCCTTTCGAATCCATTTCATTCCATTGTATTCCATTCCAATCGAGTCCATTCAATTCCATTCCATTCGAGTCCAATCCACTCCATTCCATTCGCATCCCCTCCATTCCACACCATTCCTTTCGAGTCCTTTCCATTCTATTCCACTCAAGTACATTCCATTCAATTTCTTTCGAGTCAATTCCATTCCATTCCATTCCATTCGAGTCCATTCCATTTGATTCCATGACATTACATTCGGGTCCATTCCATTCGAGTCTATGCCATTTCATTCCATTCTGTTCAAGTCTATTCCTTTCCATTCTTTCTATTCCATTCGAGTCCATTCCATTCCATTCCATTCGAATCCGTTCCATTCCATTCAATTCCTTTTGAGGACATTCCATTCCATTCCATTCCATTCCTTTCAATTACATTCCATTCCATTCCAACTCATTCGGTTCTGGTCCATACCATTCTAGTCCATTTCTTAGAATCTATTCCATTCCAATCGAGATCAATCAATTCCATTCCATTCGAGTCCACTTCATTAGAATATCTTCCATTCCAATCGAGTCCATTCAATTCCATTCCATTCTAGTCCATTCCACTCCATTCCATATGAGTCCATTCCATTCGACAACTTTCCTCTGGAGTCCATTACATTCTATTACATTCTAGTCCATGCCATTCAATTATTTTCTACTCAATTGCATTCCATTCCATTTGAGTCCATTCGATTGCATTCCATTCCAATCGAGTCCATTCCATTCAAGTCCATTCAATTCCATTAGATTCCCTTCCATTAGAGTCCATTCTTTTACAATCCATCCCCTTCCTTTCGAGTCCATTCCATTCCATTCGTGTCCATTCCATTCCATTCCCTTCTAGTCCTATCCATTCCATTCCATTCTATTCCATTTTAAGTCCAGTCAATTACATTTCATTCCATTCCATTCCATTCCTTTCTATACCATTCTATTCTATTCCATTCCATTCCATTCCATTCCATTCCATTCCATTCTATTCCATTCCTTAACATTCGAATAAATTTCATTCCATTACCTTCCATTCCATTCGAGTACATTCCATTCTGTTACATTCCATTCCATGCGAGTCCATTCATTTCCATTCCTTTCTATTCGTTTCCATTGCACTCCATTCCATTCCAATCCATTCCATTCCACGCCAGTCTATGCGAGTCCATTCTCTTCTATTACATGTGAATCTGTTCCATCCCGTTCCATTCCATTCGAGTCCATTCTATTTCTTTCCATTCGAGCCCATTCCACTCCATTCCATTCGAGTCCAATCCATTCCCTTCCATTCCATTCCATTGAATGACTTTGCATTCCATTCAATTCCATTCTTTCGAGTCCATTCCATTCCATTGAATTCCATTCAATTCCATTCCTTTTGAGTCCATTCAATTCCATTCCATTCCGTTTCAGTCCATTCCATTCCATTCTTTTCCTTCCATACCATTCCATTCCATTCCATTCCGTCCCAGACCATTCCATTCCATTCCATTCTGTTCGAGTCGATTCCATTTGATTCCATGGCATACATTCGGGTCCATTCCATTCAACTCCATTCCATTTGATTCCACACCGTTACATTCTTGTCCATTCTAGTCCACTCCTTTGGATTCTATGCCATTCCATTCCATTCCATTCAAGTCCATTCCTTTCCATTCCTTTCTATTCAATTCGAATCCATTCCATTCCAATCCATTGGAGTCGGTTCCATTCCACTCCATTCCATTGCAGTACATTCTATTCCATTTCATTCCATTCCATTCCATTCCGTTCCATTCCATTCCATTAGAGTCCGTTCCATTCCATTCGAGTTCATTCTGTTCCGTTCCATTCCATTCCATTCTAGTCCATTTCATTCCAATCCATTCCATTCCAGAAGAGTCCATTCAATTCCAATCCATTCGATTCCATAACACTCCATTCCATTAAAGTCCATTCCATTCAACACCATTCCATTCGAGTCCATCACATTCTATTCCATTCGTGTCCATTCCTTTCAATTCCTTTCTAGTCAATTCCATTCCATTCCATTCCATTCGAGTCCATTCCATTCTGTTCCATTGCAATCGAGTCAATTCCATTCCATTCAATTCCATTCGATTCCATTCCATTAGATTCCATTCCATTAGGGTCCATTGTATTACATTACATGCCCTTCCAATCTAGTCCATTCCATTCCATTCGAGTCCATTTCATTCCATTCCCTCCGAATCCATTCCTCTCCATTCCATTCCATTCCATTACATTCCATTCCAATCCATTCCATTCCATTCCATTCCATTATTTCATTCAAGTCCATTCTATTCCATTTCATTCCATTCCATTCCATTTCATTCCATTCCATTCCATTCCATTCCATTCCATTCCATTCGAGTCCGTTCCATTCCATTCCAGTTCATTCTGTTCCGTTCCATTCCGTTCCATTCCATTCTAGTCCATTTCATTCCAATCCATTCCATTCCAGAAGAGTCCATTCAATTCCAATCCATTCGAGTCCATAACACTCCATTCCATTCAACACCATTCCATTCGAGTCCATCACATTCTATTCCATTCGTGTCCATTCCTTTCAATTCCTTTCTAGGCAATTCCATTCCATTCCATTCCATTCGAGCCCATTCCATTCTGTTCCATTGCAATCGAGTCCATTCCATTCCATTCCATTCCATTCCATTCCATTCCATTTCATTAGATTCCATTCCATTAGTGTCCATTGTGTTACATTACATGCCATTCCAATCTAGTCCATTCCATTCCATTCGAGTCCATTTCATTCCATTCCCTCTGAATCCATTCCTTTCCATTCCATTCCATTCCATTCCATTCCATTATTTCATTCAAGTCCATTCTATTCCATTTCATTCCATTCCATTCCAGTCGATTCCACTCCATTCCATTCCATTACATTCTATTCCATGCCATTCAATGCCATTCGATTCCATTCCATTTCATTCCATTCCAGTCCTTTCCATTCGCATAAATTACATTCCATTACCTTCATTCCATTCGAGTACATTCCATTCCGTTACATTCAATTCTATTCGAGTCCATTCATTTCCTTTCCATCTATTCGTTTCCCATGCACTCCATTCCATTCGAGTCCATTCCATTTCTCTCCATTCCATTGCAGTCCATTCTCTTCTATTACATTTGAATCTGTTCCATCCTATTCCATTCCATTCGAGTCCATTCCATTCCATTTCATTCGAGTCCATTCCATTCCATTCTATACCATTTGGTTGCATTCCATTCCTTTCCATTCGAGTCCATTCCATTCCAACACGTTTCATTCGAGTCCATTGCATTCCATTCCATTCGAATCCATACCATTCCATTCGATTCGATTAAATTCCATTCCATTTGATTCCATTCCATTGCATTCCATTCCATGCCATTCAGGTCCAATCCATTCAATTCCATTCGAGTCAATTCCATTCCAATCCATTCGAGTCCATTCCATTGCTTTGCATTCCAATCCCTTCGAGTCGATTCAATTCCATTCCATTCCATTCGCATCCATTCCATTCCATTCATTCGAGTCCATTCAATTTCATTCCATTCCATTTGAGTAAAGTCCATTTTATTCCATTCAAGTCCACAACATTACATTCCATTAGAGTCCATTTCATTCAATTCTGTTGTATTTCATTCGAGTCCATTCCATTCCATTCCATTCCATTTGAGTCCTTTCCATTCCATTTCATTCCATTCGTGACCATTCCATTCCATTCCATTCGAATAGGTTCCATTCCATTTCATTCCATTCGAGTCCGTTGCATTCCATTCCATTCCTTTCTGGTCCTATCCATTCCCTTCCATTTCTGTCCATATCCAAAACCATTCCATTCCATTCATCTGAGGACCATTCGATTCCATTCCATTCCATTCGAGTCCAATTTATTCCACTACATTCCATACAAATCATGTCCCTTCAGTTCCATTCCATTTGAGTCTATTCCACTCCATTCCATTCGTGTCCATTCCGTTCCACACCATTCCATTGGAGTCCATCCCATTCTGTTCCATTCGTGTCCATTCCATTCAATTCCATTCAAGTCAATTCTATGCCATTCCATTCCAGTCCATTCCATTGCATTCCATAGCATTTTGATTCCAATCCATTCCATTCCATTCGAGTCCATTCCATTCCACTCCATTAGATTCCATCCATTGGGTCCATTCTATTAAATTCCATTCCCTTCCATTCAAGTCCATTCCATTCCATTTGAGACCATTCCATTCCATTCCCTTTGATTTCATACCATTCCATTCCATTCTATACCATTCAAGACAGTTCCATTCCATTTCATTCCATTCCATTACCAGTCCATCTATTCCTTTCCATTTCCATCCGTTCATCCATTCTTCCATTACCTTCCATTCCTTTCAATACATTCCATTCTATTACATTTGAGTCCATTCCATTCATTCCATTCGAGTGCATCCCATCGATTCCATTAGAGTCCAATCCATTCTATACATTGAATCCATTCCATTCCTTTCAATTCATCCGAGCCATTCCATTCCATTCGAGTCCATTCCATTCTATTACCTTTGGATCCGTTGCATTCCATTCCATTCCCTTCGAGTCCATTCCATTCGTGATAGTCCTTTTATTCCATTGGAGTCACAACATTCCGTTACATTAGAGTCCATTCGATTAAATTCCGTTGTATTTCATTCGAGTCCTTTCCATTCCATTTCATTCCATCCGTGACCATTCCATTCCAGTCCATTCTTTCGAATCCATTTCATTCCATTGTATTCCATTCCATCGAGTCCATTCAATTCCATTCCAATCGAGTCCAATCCACTCCATTCCATTAATCCCCTCCATTCCACACCATTCCTTTCGAGTCCTTTCCATTCTATTGCACTCAAGTCCATTCCATTCAATTTCATTCGAGTTCAATTCCATTCCATTCCATTCGAGTCCATTCATTGATTCCATGACATTACATCGGGTCCATTCATTCGTCTATGCCATTCCATTCCATTCTGTTCAGTCTTTCCTTTCCATTCTTTCTTCCATTCGAGTACATTCCATTCCATTCCATTCGAATCCGTTCCATCCATTCAATTCCTTTGAGGACAATCCATTCATTCCATTCCATTCCTTTCAATTACATTCCATCCATTCCAACTCATTCGGTTCTGGTCCATACCATTCTAGTCCATTTCTTAGAATCTATTCCATTCAATCGAGATCACTCAATTCCATTCCATTCGAGTCCACTTCATTAGAATATCTTCCATTCCAATCGAGTCCATTCAATTCCATTCCATTCTAGTCCATTCCACTCCATTCCATATGAGTCCATTCCATTCGACAACTTTCCACTGGAGTCCATTACATTCTATTACATTCTAGTCCATGCCATTCAATTATTTTCTACTCAATTGCATTCCATTCCATTTGAGTCCATTCAATTGCATTCCATTCCATTCGAGTCCATTCCATTCCATTCCATTCAAGTCCATTCAATTCCATTAGATTCCCTTCCATTAGAGTCCATACTTTTACATTCCATCCCCTTCCTTTCGAGTCCATTCCATTCCATTCGTGTCCATTCCATTCCCTTCTATTCCTATCCACTCCATTTCATTCTATTCCATTTTAAGTTCAGTCCATTACATTTCATTCCATTCCATTCCTTTCTATTCCATTCTATTCTATTCCATTCCATTCCATTCCATTCCCTTCCATTCCATTCTATTCCATTCCTTTCCATTCGAATAAATTTCATTCCATTGCCTTCCATTCCATTCGAGTACATTCCATTCTGTTACATTCCATTCATGCGAGTCCATCATTTCCATTCCTTTCTATTCGTTTCCATTGCACTCCATTCCATTCCAATCTATTCCATTCCACGCCAGTCTATGCGAGTCCATTCTCTTCTATTACATGTGAATCTGTTCCATCCCGTTCCATTCCATTTGAGTCCATTCTATTTCTTTCCATTCGAGCCCATTCCACTCCATTCCATTCGAGTCCAATCCATTCCCTTCCATTCCATTCCATTCCATTGAATGCCTTTGCATTCCATTCAATTCCATTCCTTTCGAGTCCATTCCATTCCATTGAATTCCATTCAATTCCATTCCTTTTGAGTCCATTCAATTCCATTCCATTCCGTTTGAGTCCATTCCATTCCATTCCTTTTCCTTCCATACCATTCCGTTCCATTCCATTCTATCCCAGTCCATTCCATTCCATTCCATTCTGTTCGAGTCGATTCCATTTGATTCCATGACATACATTCGGGTCCATTCCATTCAACTCCATTAAATTTTATTCCACGCCGTTACATTCTTGTCCATTCCAGTCCACTCCTTTGGATTCTATGCCATTCCATTCCATTCCATTCAAGTCCATTCCTTTCTATTCAATTCGAATCCATTCCATTCCAATCCATTGGAGTCTGTTCCATTCCTCTCCATTCCATTGCAGTACATTCTATTCCATTTCATTCCATTCCATTCCATTCCATTCGAGTCCGTTCCATTCCATTCCAGTTCATTCTCTTCCGTTCCATTCCATTCCATTCCATTCTAGTCCATTTCATTCCAATCCATTCCATTCCAGAAGAGTCCATTCAATTCCAATCCATTCGAGTCCATAACACTCCATTCCATTAAAGTCCATTCCATTCAACACCATTCCATTCGAGTCCATCACATTCTATTCCATTCGTGTCCATTCCTTTCAATTCCTTTCTAGTCAATTCCATTCCATTCCATTCCATTCGAGTCCATTCCATTCTGTTCCATTGCAATTGAGTCAATTCCATTCCATTCAATTCCATTCGATTCCATTCCATTAGATTCCATTCCATTAGGGTCCATTGTATTACATTACATGCCCTTCCAATCTAGTCCATTCCATTCCATTTGAGTCCATTTCATTCCATTCCCTTCTAATCCATTCCTTTCCATTCCATTCCATTCCATTCCATTCTATTTCATTCAAGTCCATTCTATTCCATTTCATTCCATTCCATTCCAGTCGATTCCACTCCATTCCATTCCATTCCATTCCATTCTATTCCATGCCAATCAATGCCATTCGATTCCATTCCATTTCATTCCATTCCATTCCTTTCCATTCGCATAAATTACATTCCAATACCTTCCATTCCATTCGAGTATATTCCATTCCGTTACATTCAATTCCATTCGAGTCCATTCATTTCCATTCCATCTATTCGTTTCCAATGCACTCCATTCCATTCGAGTCCATTCCATTTCTCCATTCCATTAGAGTCCATTTCTTCTATTACATTTGAATCTGTTCCATCCTATTCCATTCATCGAGTCCATTCCATTCCATTTCATTCGAGTCCGTTCCATTCCATTCTATACCATTTGTTACATTCCATTCCTTCCATTCGAGTCCATTCCATTCCAACACATTTCATTCGAGTCCATTGCATTCCATTCCATTCGAATCCATACCATTCCATTCGATTCGATTCCATTCCATTCCATTTGATTCCATTCCATTGCTTCCATTCCATGCCATTCAGGTCCAATCCATTCAATTCCATTCGAGTCAATTCCATTCCAATCCATTCGAGTCATTCATGCTTTGCATTCCAATCCTTCGAGTCGATTCAATTCCATTCCATTCCATTCGTCATTCATTCCATTCATTTCGAGTCCATTCAATTTCATTCCATTCCATTTGAGTAAGTCTTTTATTCCATTCAAGTCCACAACATTACATTCCATTAGAGTCCATTTCATTCAATTCGTGTATTTTCATTCGAGTCCATCCATTCCATTCCATTCCAATTGAGTCCTTTCATTCCAATTTCATTCCATTCGTGACCATTCCATTCCATTCCATTCGAATAGGTTCCATTCCATTTCATTCCATTCGAGTCCGTTGCATTCCATTCCATTCCTTTCTGGTCCTATCCATTCCCTTCCATTTCTGTCCATTCCAAACCATTCCATTCCATTCCATTCCATTCCATCCGAGACCATCTCGATTCCATTCCATTCCATTCGAGTCCAATTTATTCCACTATTTCCATGCAAATCATGTCCCTTCAGTTCCATTCCATTTGAGTCTATTCACTCATTCATTCGTGTCCATTACGTTCCACACCATTCCATTGGAGTCCATCCATTCTGTTCCATTCGTGTCCATCCATTCAACATTCCATCAAGTCAATTCTATGCCATTCCATTCCAGTCCATTCCATTGCATTCCATAGCATTTGATTCCAATCCATTGCATTCCATTCGAGTCCATTCCATTTCACTCCATTAGATTCCATCCCATTGGGTCCATTCTATTAAATTCCATTCCCTTCCATTCGAGTCCATTCCATTCCATTCGAGACCATTCCATTCCATTCCCTTTGATTTCATACCATTCCATTCCATTCTATTCCACTCAAGACAGTTCCATCCCATTTCATTCCATTCCATTCCAGTCAATTCTATTCTTTCCATTCCATTCCGTTTGATTCCATTCCTTTCCATTACCTTCCATTCCATTCCAGTACATTCCATTCTATTACATTTGAGTCCATTCCATTCCATTCCATTCCATTTCATTCGAGTGCATCCCATTCGATTCCATTCGAGTCCAATCCATTCGATTACATTTGAATCCATTCCATTCCTTTCCATTCCATACGAGTCCATTCCATTCCATTCGAGTCCATTCCATTCCATTACCTTTGGATCCGTTCCATTCCATTGCATTCCCTTTGAGTCCATTCCATTCATGTATAGTCCATTTTATTCCATTGGAGTCCACAACATTCCGTTACATTAGAGTCCATTCGATTAAATTCCGTTGTATTCCATTCGAGTCCTTTCCATTCCATTCCATTCCATCCGTGACCATTCCATTCCACTCCATTCCTTTCGAATCCATTTCATTCCATTGTATTCCATTCCAATCGAGTCCATTCAATTCCATTCCATTCGAGTCCAATCCACTCCATTCCATTCGCATCCCCTCCATTCCACACCATTCCTTTCGAGTCCTTTCCATTCTATTCCACTCAAGTCCATTCCATTCAATTTCATTCGAGTCAATTCCATTCCATTCCATTCGAGTCCATTCCATTTGATTCCATGACATTACATTCCGGTCCATTCCATTTGAGTCTATGCCATTCCATTCCATTCTGTTCAAGTGTATTCCTTTCCATTCTTTCTATTCCATTCGAGTCCATTCCATTCCATTCCATTTGAATCCATTCCATTCCATTCAATTCCTTTTGAGGACATTCCATTCCATTCCTTTCAATTACATTCCATTCCATTCCAACTCATTCGGTTCTGGTCCATTCCATTCCATTCCATTCTAGTCCATTTCTTAGAATCTATTCCATTCCAATCGAGATCACTCAATTCCATTCCATTCCAGTCCACTTCATTAGAATATCTTCCATTCCAATCGAGTCCATTCAATTCCATTTCATTCTAGTCCATTCCACTCCATTCCATATGAGTCCATTCCATTCGACAACTTTCCACTGGAGTCCATTACATTCTATTACATTCTAGTCCATGCCATTCAATTATTTTCTACTCAATTGCATTCCATTCCATTTGAGTCCATTCGATTGCATTCCATTCCATTCGAGTCCATTCCATTCCATTCCATTCAAGTCCATTCAATTCCATTAGATTCCCTCCCATTAGAGTCCATTATATTACATTCCATCCCCTTCCTTTCGAGTACATTCCATTCCATTCGTCTCCATTCCATTCCATTCCCTTCTAGTCCTTTCCATTCCATTCCATTCTATTCTATTTTATGTCCAGTCCATTACATTTCATTCCATTCCATTCCATTCCTTTCTATTCCATTCGATTCTATTCCATTCCATTCCCTTCCATTCCATTGGAATAAATTTCATTCCATTGCCTTCCATTCCATTCGAGTACATTCCATTCTGTTACATTCCATTCCATGCGAGTCCATTCATTTCCATTCCTTTCTATTCGTTTCCATTGCACTCCATTCGATTCCAATCCATTCCATTCCACGCCAGTCCATGCGAGTCCATTCTCTTCTATTACATGTGAATCTGTTCCATCCCGTTCCATTCCATTCGAGTCCATTCTATTTCTTTCCATTCGAGCCCATTCCACTCCATTCCATTCGAGTCCAATCCATTCCCTTCCATTCCATTCCATTCCATTCCATTGAATGCCTTTGCATTCCATTGAATTCCATTCCTTTCGAGTCCATTCCATTCCATTGAATTCCATTCAATTCCATTCCTTGTGAGTCCATTCAATTCCATTCCATTCCGTTTCAGTCTATTCCATTCCATTCCTTTTCCTTCCATACCATTCCATTCCATTCCATTCCATTCCATCCCAGTCCATTCCATTCCATTCCATTCTGTTCGAGTCGATTCCATTTGATTCCATGACATACATTCGGGTCCATTCCATTCAACTCCATTCCATTTGATTCCACGCCGTTACATTCTTGTCCATTCCAGTCCACTCCTTTAGATTCTATGCCATTCCATTCCATTCCATTCAAGTCCATTCCTTTCCAATCCTTTCTATTCAATTCGAATCCATTCCATTCCAATCCATTGGAGTCTGTTCCATTCCACTCCATTCCATTGCAGTACATTCTATTCCATTTCATTTCATTCCATTCCATTCCATTCCATTCCATTCGAGTTCGTTCCATTCCATTCCAGTTCATTCTGATCCGTTCCATTCCAGTCCATTCCATTCTAGTCCATTTCATTCCAATCCATTCCATTCCAGAAGAGTCCATTCAATTCCAATCCATTCGAGTCCATAACACTCCATTCCATTAAAGTCCATTCCATTCAACACCATTCCATTTGAGTCCATCACATTCTATTCCATTCGTGTCCATTCCTTTCAATTCCTTTCTAGTCAATTCCATTCCATTCCATTCCATTCGAGTCCATTCCATTGTGTTCCATTGCAATCGAGTCAATTCCATTCCATTCAATTCCATTCGATTCCATTCCATTAGATTCCATTCCATTAGGGTCCATTCTATTACATTACATGCCCTTCCATTCTAGTCCATTCCATTGCATTCGAGTCCATTTCATTCCATTCCCTTCGAATCCATTCCTTTCCATTCCATTCCATTCCATTCCATTCTATTCCATTCCTTTCCATTCTTATAAATTTCATTCCATTACCTTCCATTCCATTCGAGTACATTCCATTCTGTTACATTCCATTCCATGCGAGTCCATTCATTTCCATTCCTTTCTATTCGTTTCCATTGCACTCCATTCCATTCCAATCCATTCCATTCCACGCCAGTCCATGCGAATCCATTCTCTTCTATTACATGTGAATCTGTTCCATCCCGTTCCATTCCGTTCGAGTCCATTCTATTCTTTCCATTCGAGCCCATTCCACTCTATTCCATTCGAGTCAATCCATTCCCTTTCATTCCATTCCATTCCATTCCATT
This sequence comes from Homo sapiens, assembly GCF_000001405.40. Classification (NCBI taxonomy): domain Eukaryota; kingdom Metazoa; phylum Chordata; class Mammalia; order Primates; family Hominidae; genus Homo; species Homo sapiens. The sequence goes on along the minus strand of NW_021160000.1, from coordinate 228,351 downwards.
GATTCCTTTGCATTCCATTCAATTCCATTCCTTTCGAGTCCATTCCATTCCATTGAATTCCTTTCAATTCCATTCCGTTTGAGTCCATTCCATTCCATTCCTTTTCCTTCCATACCATTCCATTCCATTCCATTCCATCCCAGTGCATTCCATTCCATTCCATTCTGTTCGAGTCGATTCCATTTCATTCCATGACATACATTCGGTTCCATTCCATTCAACTCCATTCCATTTGATTCCACGCCATTACATTTTGTCCATTCCAGTCCACTCCTTTGGATTCTATGCCATTCCATTCCATTCCATTCAAGTCCATTCCTTTCCATTCCTTTCTATTCAATTCGAATCCATTCCATTCCAATCCATTGGAGTCTGTTCCATTCCACTCCATTCCATTGCAGTACATTCTATTCCATTTCATTCCATTCCATTCCATTCCATTCCATTCCATTCGAGTCCATTCCATTCCATTCCAATTCATTCTCTTCTGTTCCATTCCATTCCATTCCATTCTAGTCCATTCATTCCAATCCATTCCATTCCAGAAGAGTCCATTCAATTCCAATCCATTCGAGTCCATAACACTCCATTCCATTAAAGTCCATTCCATTCAACACCATTACATTCAAGTCCAACACATTCTATACCATTCGTGTCCATTCCTTTCAATTCCTTTCTAGTCAATTCCATTCCATTCCATTCCATTCGAGACCATTCCATTGTGTTTCATTCCAATCGTGTCAATTCAATTCCATTCAATTCAATTTGATTCCATTCCATTAGATTCCATTTCATTAGGGGCCATTCTATTACATTACATGCCCTTCCATTCGAGTCCATTCCATTCCTTCGAGACCATTCCATTCCATTCCCTTTGATTTCATACCATTCCATTCCGTTCTATTCCATTCAAGTCAGTTCCATTCCATTTCATTCCATTCCATTCCAGTCCATTCTATTCCTTTGCATTCCATTCCATTCCATTCCATTTGATTCCATTCCTTTCCATTACCTTCCATTCCATTCCAGTACATTCCATTCTATTACATTTGAGTCCATTCCTTTCTATTCCATTTCATTCGAGTGCATCCCATTCGATTCCTTTCGAGTTCAATCCATTCTATTACATTTGAATCCATTCCATTCCTTTCCATTCCATCCAAGTCCATTCCATTCGATTCGAGTCCATTCCATTCTATACCTTTGGATCCGTTCCATTCCATTCCATTCCTTCGAGTCCATTCCATTCGTGTATAGTCCATTTTATTCCATTGGAGTCCACAACATTCCGTTACATTAGAGTCCATTCGATTAAATTCCGTTGTATTTCATTCGAGTCCTTTCCATTCCATTCCATTCCATCCGTGACCATTCCATTCCAGTCCATTCCTTTCGAATCCATTTCATTCCATTGTATTCCATTCCAATCGAGTCCATTCAATTCCATTCCATTCGAGTCCAATCCACTCCATTCCGTTCGCATCCCCTCCATTCCACACCATTCCTTTCGAGTCCTTTCCATTCTATTCCACTCAAGTCCATTCCATTCAATTTCATTCGAGTCAATTCCATTCCATTCCATTCGAGTCCATTCCATTTGATTCCATGACATTACATTCGGGTCCATTCCATTCGAGTCTATGCCATTCCATTCCATTCTGTTCAAGTCTATTCCTTTCCATTCTTTCTATTCCACTCGAGTCCATTCCTTTCCATTCCATTCGAATCCGTTCCATTCCATTCAATTCCCTTTGAGGACATTCCATTCCATTCCATTCCATTCCTTTCAATTACATTCCATTCCATTCCAACTCATTCGGTTCTGGTAAATTCCATTCCATTCCATTCTAGTCCATTTCTTAGAATCTATTCCATTCCAATCGAGATCACTCAATTCCATTCCATTCGAGTCCACTTCATTAGAATATCTTCCATTCCAATCGCGTCCATTAAATTCCATTCTATTCTAGTCCATTCCACTCCATTCCATATGAGTCCATTCCATTCGACAACTTTCCACTGGAGTCCATTACATTCTATTACATTCTAGTCCATGCCATTCAATTATTTCCTACTCAATTGCATTCCATTCCATTTGAGTCCATTCGATTGCATTCCATTCCATTCGAGTCCATTCCATTCAAGTCCATTCAATTCCATTAGATTCCCTTCCATTAGAGTCCATTCTGTTACATTCCATCCCCTTCCTTTCTAGTCCATTCCATTCCATTCGTGTCCATTCCATTCCATTCCCTTCTAGTCCTTTCCATTCCATTCCATTCTATTCCATTTTAAGTCCAGTCCATTACATTTCATTCCATTCCATTCCATTTCTTTCTATTCCATTCTATTCATTCCGTTCCATTCCCTTCCATTCCCTTCCATTCCATTCTATTCCATTTCTTTCCATTCGAATAAATTTCATTCCATTACCTTCCATTCCATTCGAGTACATTCTATTCTGTTACATTCCATTCCATGCGAGTCCATTCATTTCCATTCCTTTCTATTCGTTTCCATTGCACTCCATTCCATTCCAATCCATTCCATTCCACGCCAGTCCATGCGAGTCCATTCTCTTCTATTACATGTGAATCTGTTCCATCCCCATTCCATTCGAGTCCATTCTATTTCTTTCCATTCGAGCCCATTCCACTCCATTCCATTCGAGTCCAATCCATTCCCTTCCATTCCATTCCTTTCCATTCCATGAATGCCTTTGCATTCCATTCAATTCCATTCCTTTCGAGTCCATTCCATTCCATTGAATTCCATTCAATTCCATTCCTTTTGAGTCCATTCAACTCCATTCCATTCCGTTTCAGTCCATTCCATTCCATTCCTTTCCTTCCATACCTCCATTCCATTCCATTCCATTCCATTCCATTCCATCCCAGTCCATTCCATTCCATTCCATTCTGTTCGATTCGATTACATTTGATTCCATGACATACATTCGGGTCCATTCCATTCAACTCCATTCCATTTGATTCCACGCGTTACATTCTTGTCCATTCCAGTCCACTCCTTTGGATTCTATGCCATTCCATTCCATTCCATTCAAGTCCATTCTTTTCCATTCCTTTCTATTCAATTCGAATCCATTCCATTCCAATCCATTGGAGTCTGTTCCATTCCACTCCACTCCATTGCAGTACATTCTATTCCATTTCATTCCATTCCATTCCATTCCATTCCATTCCATTCCATTCGAGTCCGTTCCAATCCATTCCAGTTCATTCTGATCCGTTTCATTCCAGTCCATTCCATTCCAGAAGAGTCCATTCAATTCCAATCCATTCGAGTCCATCACACTCCATTCCGTTAAAGTCCATTCCATTCAACACCATTCCATTCGAGTCCATCACATTCTATTCCGTTCGTGTCCATTCCTTTCAATTCCTTTCTTGTCAATTCCATTTCATTCCATTCCATTCGAGTCCATTCCATTGTGTTCCATTGCAATCGAGTCAATTCCATTCCATTCAATTCCATTCGATTCCATTCCATTAGATTCCATTCCATTAGGGTACATTGTATTACATTACATGCCCTTCCATTCTAGTCCATTCCATTGCATTCGAGTCCATTTCATTCCATTCCCTTCGAATCCATTCCTTTCCATTCCATTCCATTCCATTCCATTCTATTCCATTCCTTTCCATTCTTATAAATTTCATTCCATTACCTTCCATTCCATTCGAGTACATTCCATTCTGTTACATTCCATTCCATGCGAGTCCATACATTTCCATTCCTTTCTATTCGTTTCCATTGCACTCCATTCCATTCCAATCCATTCCATTCCACGCCAGTCCATGCGAATCCATTCTCTTCTATTACATGTGAATCTGTTCCATCCCGTTCCATTCCGTTCGAGTCCATTCTATTCTTTCCAATCGAGCCCATTCCACTCTATTCCATTCAAGTCCAATTCATTCCCTTTCATTCCATTCCATTCCATTCCATTGAATGCCTTTGCATTCCATTCAATTCCATTCATTTCGAGTCCATTCTATTCCATTGAATTCCATTCAATTCCATTCCTTTTGAGTCCATTCAATTCCATTCCATTCCGTTTCAGTCCATTCCATTCCATTCCTTTACCTTCCATACCATTCCATTCCATTCCATTCCATCCCAGTCCATTCCATTCCATTCCATTCTGTTCGAGTCGATTCCATTTGATTCCATGACATACATTCGGGTCCATTCCATTCAACTCCATTCCATTTGATTCCACGCCATTACATTCTTTTCCATTCCAGTCCACTCCTCTGGATTCTATGCCATTCCACTCCATTCCATTCAAGTCCATTCCTTTCCATTCCTTTCTATTCAATTCGAATCCATTCCATTCCAATCCATTGGAGTCTGTTCCATTCCACCCCATTCCATTGCAGTACATTCTATTCATTTCATTCCATTCCATTCCATTCCATTGGAGTCCAATCCATTCCATTCCAATTCATTCTGTTCCGTTCCATTCCATTCCATTCCATTCTAGTCCATTTCATTCCATTCCCTTCGAATCCATTCCATTCCATTCCATTCCATTCCATTCACTATTTCATTCAAGTCCATTCTATTCCATTCCATTCCATTCCATTCCATTCTATTCCATGCAATTCAATGCCATTCGATTCCATTCCATTTCATTCCATTCCATTCCTTTCAATTCGCATAAATTACATTCCATTACCTTCCATTCCATTCGAGTACATTACATTCCGTTACATTCAATTCCTTTCGACTCCATTCATTTCCTTTCCATCTATTCGTTTCCCATGCACTCTATTCCATTCGAGTCCATTCCATTTCTCTCCATTCCATTTCTCTCCATTCCATTAGGGTCCATTCTCTTCTATTACATTTGAATCTGTTCCATCCTATTCCATTCCATTCGAGTCCATTTCATTCGAGTCCATTCCATTCCATTCTATACCACTTGGTTACATTCCATTCCTTTCCATTCGAGTCCATTCCATTCCAACACATTTCATTCGAGTCCATTGCATTCCATTCCATTCGAATCCATACCATTCCATTCGATTCGATTCCATTCCATTCCATTTGATTCCATTCCATTGCATTCCATTCCATGCCATTCAGGTCCAATCCATTCAATTCCATTCGAGTCAATTCCATTCCAATCCATTCGAGTCCATTCCATTGCTTTGCATCCAATCCCTTCGAGTCGATTCAATTCCATTTCATTCCATTCACATCCATTCCATTCCATTCAGTTCGAGTCCATTCAATTTCATTCCATTCCATTTGAGTAAAGTCCATTTATTCCATTCAAGTCCACAACATTACATTCCATTAGAGTCCATTTCATTCAATTCTGTTGTATTTCATTCGAGTCCATTCCATTCCATTTGAGTCCTTTCCATTCCACTTCATTCCATTCGTGACCATTCCATTCCATTCGAATAGGTTCCATTCCATTTCATTCCATTCTAGTCCATTGCATTCCCTTCCATTCCTTTCTGGTCCTATCCATTCCCTTCCATTTCTGTCCATTCCAAACCATTCCATTCCATTCCATTCCATTCCATCCGAGACCATTCGATTCCATTCCATTCCATTCGAGTCCAATTTATTCCACTACATTCCATACAAATCATGTCCCTTCAGTTCCATTCCATTTGAGTCTATTCCACTCCATTCCATTCGTGTCCATTCCGTTCCACACCATTCCATTGGAGTCCATCCCATTCTGTTCCATTCGTGTCCATTCCATTCAATTCCATTCAAGTCAATTCTATGCCATTCCATTCCAGTCCATTCCATTGCATTCCATAGCATTTGATTCCAATCCATTCCATTCCATTCGAGTCCATTCCATTCCACTCCATTAGATTCCATCCCATTGGGTCCATTCTATTAAATTCCATTCCCTTCCATTCAAGTCCATTCCATTCCATTTGAGACCATTCCATTCCATTCCTTTGATTTCATACCATTCCATTCCATTCTATACCATTCAAGACAGTTCCATTCCATTTCATTCCATTCCATTACAGTCCATTCTATTCCTTTCCATTCCATTCCGTTTCATTCCATTCCTTTCCATTACCTTCCATTCCTTTCCAATACATTCCATTCTATTACATTTGAGTCCATTCCATTCCATTCCATTCGAGTGCATCCCATTCGATTCCATTAGAGTCCAATCCATTCTATTACATTTGAATCCATTCCATTCCTTTCAATTCCATCCGAGTCCATTCCATTCCATTCGAGTCCATTCCATTCTATTACCTTTGGATCCGTTGCATTCCATTCCATTCCCTTCGAGTCCATTCCATTCGTGTATAGTCCTTTTTATTCCATTGGAGTCCACAACATTCCGTTACATTAGAGTCCATTCGATTAAATTCCGTTGTATTTCATTCGAGTCCTTTCCATTCCATTTCATTCCATCCGTGACCATTCCATTCCAGTCCATTCCTTTCGAATCCATTTCATTCCATTGTATTCCATTCCAATCGAGTCCATTCAATTCCATTCCAATCGAGTCCAATCCACTCCATTATCACATCCCCTCCATTCCACACCATTCCTTTCGAGTCCTTTCCATTCTATTGCACTCAAGTCCATTCCATTCAATTTCATTCGAGTCAATTCCATTCCATTCCATTCGAGTCCATTCCATTTGATTCCATGACATTACATTCGGGTCCATTCCATTCGAGTCTATGCCATTCCATTCCATTCTGTTCAAGTCTATTCCTTTCCATTCTTTCTATTCCATTCGAGTACATTCCATTCCATTCCATTCGAATCCGTTCCATTCCATTCAATTCCCTTTGAGGACAATCCATTCCATTCCATTCCATTCCTTTCAATTACATTCCATTCCATTCCAACTCATTCGGTTCTGGTCCATACCATTCTAGTCCATTTCTTAGAATCTATTCCATTCCAATCGAGATCACTCAATTCCATTCCATTTGAGTGCACTTCATTAGAATATCTTCCATTCCAATCGAGTCCATTCAATTCCATTCCATTCTAGTCCATTCCACTCCATTCCATATGAGTCCATTCCATTCGACAACTTTCCACTGGAGTCCATTACATTCTATTACATTCTAGTCCATGCCATTCAATTATTTTCTACTCAATTGCATTCCATTCCATTTGAGTCCATTCAATTGCATTCCATTCCATTCGAGTCCATTCCATTCCATTCCATTCAAGTCCATTCAATTCCATTAGATTCCCTTCCATTAGAGTCCAAACTTTTACATTCCATCCCTTCCTTTCGAGTCCATTCCATTCCATTCGTGTCCATTCCATTCCCTTCTATTCCTATCCACTCCATTTCATTCTATTCCATTTTAAGTTCAGTCCATTACATTTCATTCCATTCCATTCCTTTCTATTCCCTTCTATTCTATTCCATTCCATTCCATTCCATTCCATTCCATTCCATTCCATTCCTTTCCATTCGAATAAATTTCATTCCATTGCCTTCCATTCCATTCGAGTACATTCCATTCTGTTACATTCCATTCCATGCGAGTCCATTCATTTCCATTCCTTTCTATTCGTTTCCATTGCACTCCATTCCATTCCAATCTATTCCATTCCACGCCAGTCTATGCGAGTCCATTCTCTTCTATTACATGTGAATCTGTTCCATCCCGTTCCATTCCATTCGAGTCCATTCTATTTATTTCCATTCGAGCCCATTCCACTCCATTCCATTCGAGTCCAATCCATTCCCTTCCATTCCATTCCATTCCATTGAATGCCTTTGCATTCCATTCAATTCCATTCCTTTCGAGTCCATTCCATTCCATTGAATTCCATTCAATTCCATTCCTTTTGAGTCCATTCAATTCCATTCCATTCCGTTTGAGTCCATTCCATTCCATTCCTTTTCCTTCCATACCACTCCATTCCATTCCATTCCATCCCAGTCCATTCCATTCCATTCCATTCTGTTCGAGTCGATTCCATTTGATTCCATGACATACATTCGGGTCCATTCCATTCAACTCCATTCCATTTGATTCCATGCCGTTACATTCTTGTCCATTCCAGTCCACTCCTTTGGATTCTATGCCATTCCATTCCATTCCATTCAAGTCCATTCCTTTCTATTCAATTCGAATCCATTCCATTCCAATCCATTGGAGTCTGTTCCATTCCACTCCATTCCATTGCAGTACATTCTATTCCATTCCATTCCATTCCATTCCTTTCCATTCCATTCGAGTCCGTTCCATTCCATTCCAATTCATTCTGTTCCGTTCCATTCCATTCCATTCCATTCTAGTCCATTTCATTCCAATCCATTCCATTCCAGAAGAGTCCATTCAATTCCAATCCACTCGAGTCCATAACACTCCATTCCATTAAAGTCCATTCCATTCAACACCATTCCATTCGAGTCCATCACATTCTATTCCATTCGTGTCCATTCCTTTCAATTCCTTTCTAGTCAATTCCATTCCATTCCATTCCATTCGAGTCCATTCCATTGTGTTCCATTCCAATCGAGTCAATTCCATTCCATTCAATTCCATTCGATTCCATTCCATTAGATTCCATTCCATTAGGGTCCATTCTATTACATAACATTTCCTACCTTTCTAGTCCATTCCATTCCATTCGAGTCCATTTCATTCCATTCCCTTCTAATCCATTCCTTTCCATTCCATTCCATTCCATTCCATTCTATTTCATTCAAGTCCATTCTATTCCATTTCATTCCATTCCATTCCAGTCGATTCCACTCCATTCCATTCCATTCCATTCCATTCTATTCCATGCCAATCAATGCCATTCGATTCCATTCCATTTCATTCCATTCCATTCCTTTCCATTCGCATAAATTACATTCCAATACCTTCCATTCCATTCGAGTATATTCCATTCCGTTACATTCAATTCCATTCGAGTCCATTCATGTCCATTCCATCTATTCCTTTCCAATGCACTCCATTCCATTCGAGTCCATTCCATTTCTCTCCATTCCATTAGATTCCATTCTCTTCTATTACATTTGAATCTGTTCCATCCTATTCCATTCCATTCGAGTCCATTCCATTCCATTTCATTCGAGTCCGTTCCATTCCATTCTATATCATTTGGTTACATTCCATTCCTTTCCATTCGAGTCCATTCCATTCCAACCCATTTCATTCGAGTCCATTGCATTCCATTCCATTCGAATCCATACCATTCCATTCGATTCGATTCCATTCCATTCCATTTGATTCCATTCCATTGCATTCCATTCCATGCCGTTCAGGTCCAATCCATTCAATTCCATTCGAGTCAATTCCATTCCAATCCATTCGAGTCCATTCCATTGCTTTGCATTCCAATCCCTTCGAGTCGATTCAATTCTATTTCATTCCATTCGCATCCATTCCATTCCATTCAGTTCGAGTCCATTCAATTTCATTCCATTCCATTTGAGTAAAGTCCATTTTATTCTATTCAAGTCCACAACTTTACATTCCATTAGAGTCCATTTCATTCAATTCTGTTGTATTTCATTCGAGTCCATTTCATTCCATTTGAGTCCTTTCCATTCCATTTCATTCCATTCGTGACCATTCCATTCCATTCCATTCGAATAGGTTCCATTCCATTTCATTCCATTCGAGTCCATTGCATTCCATTGCATTCCTTTCTGGTCTTATACATTCCCTTCCATTTCTGTCCATTCCAAACCATTCCATTCCATTTCATGCCATTCCATTCCATTCCATCCGAGACCATTCGATTCCATTCCATTCCATTCGAGTCCAATTTATTCCACCACATTCCATACAAATCATGTCCTTTCAGTTCCATTCCATTTGAGTCTATTCCACTCCATTCCATTCGTGTCCATTCCGTTCCACACCATTCCATTGGAGTCCACCTCATTCTGTTCCATTCGTGTCCATTCCATTCAATTCCATTCAAGTCAATTCTATTCCATTCCATTCCCGTCAATTCCATTGTATTCCATAGCATTTGATTCCAATCCATTCCATTACATTCGAGTCCATTCCATTCCATTCCATTAGATTCCACCCATTGGGTCCATTCTATTCAATTCCATTCCCTTCCATTCGAGTCCATTCCATTCCATTCGAGACCATTCCATTCCATTCCCTTTGATTTCATACCATTCCTTTCCATTCTATTCCATTCAAGTCAGTTCCATTCCATTTCATTCCATTCCATTCCAGTCCATTCTATTCCTTTCCATTCCATTCCATTTGATTCCATTCCATTCCAATACCTTCCATTCCATTCGAGTACATTCCATTCTATTACATTTGAATCCATTCCATTCCATTCCATTTCATTCGACTGCATCCCATTCGATTCCATTCGAGTCCACTCCATTCTATTACATTTGAATCCATTCCATTCCTTTCCATTCCATCCGATTCCATTCCATTCCATTCGAGTCCATTCCATTCTATCACCTTTAGATCCGTTCCATTCCATTCCATTTTATTCGAGTCCATTCCATTCGTGTATAGTCCATTTTATTCCATTGGAGTCCACAACATTCCGTTACATTAGAGTCCATTCGATTAAATTCCGTTGTATTTCATTCGAGTCCTTTCCATTCCATTCCATTCCATCCGTGACCATTCCATTCCAGTCCAATCCTTTCGAATCCATTTCATTCCATTGTATTCCATTCCATTCCAATCGAGTCCATTCAATTCCATTCCATTCGAGTCCAATCCACTCCATTCCATTCAAATCCCTTCCATTCCACACCATTCCTTTCGAGTCCTTTCCATTCTATTCCACTCAAGTCCATTCCATTCAATTTCATTCGAGTCAATTCCATTCCATTCCTTTCGAGTCCATTCCATTTGATTCCGTGACATTACATTCGGGTCCTTTCCATTCGAGTCTATGCCATTCCATACCATTCTGTTCAAGTCTATTCCTTTCCTTTCTTTCTATTCCATTCGAGTCCATTCCATTCCATTCCAGTCGAATCCGTTCCATTCCATTCAATTCCTTTTGAGGACATTCCATTCCATTCCATTCCATTCCATTCCATTCCTTTCAATTACATTCCGTTCCATTCCAACTCATTCGCTTCTGGTCCATTCCATTCCATTCCATTCTAGTCCATTTCTTAGAATCTATTCCATTCCAATCTAGATCACTCAATTCCATTCCATCCGAGTCCACTTCATTTGAATATCTTCCATTCCAATCGAGTCCATTCAATTCCATTCCATTCTAGTCCATTCCACTCCATTCCATATGAGTCCATTCCATTCGACAACTTTCCACTGGAGTCCATTACATTCTATTACATTCTAGTCCATGCCATTCAATTATTTTCTACTCAATTGCATTCCATTCCATTTGAGTGCATTCGATTGCATTCCATTCCATTCGAGTCCATTCCATTCCATTCCATTCAAGTCCATTCAATTCCATTAGATTCCCTTCCATTAGAGTCCATTCTATTACATTCCATCCCCTTCCTTTCGAGTCCATTCCATTCCATTCGTGTCCATTCCATTCCATTCCCTTCTAGTCCTTTCCATTCCATTCCATTCTATTCCATTTTAAGTCCAGTCCATTACATTTCATTCCATTCCATTCCATTCCTTTCTATTCCATTCTATTCTGTTCCATTCCATTCCATTCCATTCCATTCCATTCCATTCCATTCTATTCCATTCCTTTCCATTCGAATAAATTTCATTCCATTAACTTCTATTCCTTTCGAGTACATTCCATCCTGTTACATTTCATTCCATGCGAGTCCATTCATTTCCATTCCTTTCTATTCGTTTCCATTGCAATCCATTCCATTCCAATCCATTCCATTCCACGCCAGTCCATGCGAGTCCATTCTCTTCTATTACATGTGAATCTGTTCCATCCCATTCCATTCCATTCGAATCCATTCCACTCCATTCCATTCGAGTCCAATCCATTCCCTTCCATTCCATTCCATTCCATTGAATGCCTTTGCATTCCATTCAATTCCATTCCTTTCGAGTCCATTCCATTCCATTGAATTCCATTCAATTCCATTCCTTTTGAGTCCATTGAATTCCATTCCATTCCGTTTCAGTCCATTCCATTCCATTCCTTTTACTTCCATACCATTCCATTCCATTCTATTCCATCCCAGTCCATTCCATTCCATTCCATTCTGTTCGAGTCGATTCCATTTGATTCCATGACATACATTCGGGTCCATTCCATTCAACTCCATTCCATTTGATTCCACGCCGTTACATTCTTGTCCATTCCAGTCCACTCCTTTGGATTCTATGCCATTCCATTCCATTCCATTCAAGTCCATTCCTTTCCATTCCTTTCTATTCAATTCGAATCCATTCCATTCCAATCCATTGGAGTCTGTTCCATTCCACTCCATTCCATTGCAGTACATTCTATTCCATTTCATTCCATTCCATTCCATTCCATTCCATTCGAGTCCGTTCCATTCCATTCCAGTTCATTCTCTTCCGTTCCATTCCATTCCATTCCATTCTAGTCCATTTCATTCCAATCCATTCCATTCCAGAAGAGTCCATTCAATTCTAATCCATTCGAGTCCATAACACTCCATTCCATTAAAGTCCATTGCATTCAACACCATTCCATTCGAGACCATCACATTCTATTCCATTCGTGTCCATTCCTTTCAATTCCTTTCTAGTCAATTCCATTCCATTCCATTCCATTCGAGTCCATTCCATTGGTTTCCATTCCAATCGAGTCAATTCCATTCCATTCAATTCCATTCGATTCCATTCCATTAGATTCCATTCCATTAGGGTCCATTCTATTACAGTACATGCCCTTTCTTTCTAGTCCATTCCATTCCATTCGAGTCCATTTCATTCCATTCCCTTCGAATCCATTTCCTTTCCATTCCATTCCATTCCATTCTCTTTCATTCAAGTCCATTCTATTCCATTTCATTCCATTCCATTCCAATGGATTCCACTCCATTCCATTCCATTCCATTCTATTCCATACCATTCAATGCCATTCGATTCTATTCCATTTCATTCCATACCATTCCTTTCCATTCGCATAAATTACATTCCATTACCTTCCATTCCATTCGAGTACATTCCATTCCGTTACATTCAATTCCATTCGAGTCCATTCATTTCCATTCCATCTATTCGTTTCCAATGCACTCCATTCCATTCGAGTCCATTCCATTTCTCTCCATTCCATTAGAGTCCATTCTCTTCTATTACATTTGAATCTGTTCCATCCTATTCCATTCCATTCGAGTCCATTCCATTCCATTTCATTCGAGTCCATTCCATTCCATTCTATACCATTTGGTTACATTCCATTCCTTTCCATTCGAGTCCATTCCATTCCAACCCATTTCATTCGAGTCCATTGCATTCCATTCCATTCGAATCCATACCATTCCATTCGATTCGATTCCATTCCATTCCATTTGATTCCATTCCATTGCATTCCATTCCATGCCATTCAGGTCCAATCCATTCAATTCCATTCGAGTCAATTCCATTCCAATCCATTCGAGTCCATTCCATTGCTTTGCATTCCAATCCTTCGAGTCGATTCAATTCCATTTCATTCCATTCGCATCCATTCCATTCCATTCAGTTCGAGTCCATTCAATTTCATTCCATTCCATTTGAGTAAAGTCCATTTTATTCCATTCAAGTCCACAACATTACATTCCATTAGAGTCCATTTCATTCAATTCTGTTGTATTTCATTCGAGTCCATTCCATTCCATTCCATTCCATTTGAGTCCTTTCCATTCCATTTCATTCCAGTCGTGACCATTCCATTCCATTCCATTCGAATAGGTTCCATTGCATTTCATTCCTTTCGAGTCCATTGCATTCCATTCCATTCCTTTCCTTTCAATTCCATTCCATTCCATTCCAACTCATACGGTTCTGGTCCATTCCATTCCATTCCATTCTAGTCCATTTCATAGAATCTATTCCATTCCAATCTAGATCACTCAATTCCATTCCATTCGAGTCCACTTGATTAGAATATCTTCCATTCCAATCGAGTCCATTCAGTTCCATTCCATTCGAGTCCATTCCACTCCATTCCATATCAGTCCATTCCATTCGACAACTTTCCCCTGGAGTCCATTACATTCTATTACATTCTATTCCATGCCATTAAATTATTTTCTACTCAATTTCATTCCATTCCATTTGAGTCCATTCTATTGCATTCCATTTTATTCGAGTCCATTCCATTCCATTCCATTCCATTCAAGTCCATTCAATTCCATTAGATTCCCTTCCATTAGAGTCCATTCTATTACATTCCATCCCCTTCCTTTCGAGTCCATTCCATTCCAATCGTGTCCATTCCATTCCATTCCCTTCTAGTCCTTTCCATTCCATTCCATTCTATTCCATTTTAAGTCCATTCCATTACCTTTCATTCCATTCCATTCCATTCCTTTCTATTCCATTCTATTCTATTCCATTCAATTCCATTCCATTCCATTCCATTCTATTCCATTTTAAGTCCAGTCCATTACATTTCATTCCATTCCATTCCATTCCTTTCTATTCCAATCTATTCTATTCCATTCAATTCCAATCCATTCCATTCCATTCCAATCCATTCCATTCCATTCCATTCTATTCCATTCCTTTCCATTCGAATAAATTTCATTCCATTACATTCCATTCCATTCGAGTACATTCCATTCTGTTACATTCCATTCCATGCGAGTCCATTCATTTCCATTCCTTTCTATTCGTTTCCATTGCACTCCATTCCATTCGAATCCATTCCATTGTGTTCCATTCCAATCGAGTCAATTCCATTCCATTCAATTCCATTCGATTCCATTCCATTAGATTCCATTCCACTAGGGTCCATTGTATTACATTACATGCCCTTCCTTTCTAGTCCATTCCATTCCATTCGAGTCCATTTCATTCCATTCCCTTCGAATCCATTCCTTTCCATTCCATTCCATTCCATTCCATTCTATTCCATTCCATTCCATTCCATTCCATTCTATTTCATTCAAGTCCATTCTATTCCACTTCATTCCTTTCCATTCCAGTCGATTCCACTCCATTCCATTCCATTCCATTCTATTCCATGCCATTCAATGCCATTCGATTCCATTCCATTTCATTCCATTCCATTCCTTTCCATTCGCATAAATTACATTCCTTTACCTTCCATTCCATTCGAGTACATTCCATTCCGTTACATTCAATTCCATTCGAGTCCATTCATTTCCATTCCGTGTATTCTTTTCCAATGCACTCCATTCCATTCGAGTCCATTCCATTTCTCTCCATTCAATTAGAGTCCATTCTCTTCTATTACATTTGAATCTGTTCCATCCTATTCCATTCCATTCGAGTCCATTCCATTCCATTTCATTCGAGTCCATTCCATTCCATTCTATACCATTTGGTTACATTCCATTCCTTTCCATTCGAGTCCATTCCATTCCAACTCATTTCATTCGTGTCCATTGCATTCCATTCCATTCGAATCCATACCATTCCATTCGATTCGATTCCATTCCATTCCATTTGATTCCATTCCATTGCATTCCATTCCATGCCATTCAGGTCCAATCCATTCAATTCCATTCGAGTCAATTCCATTCCAATCCATTCGAGTCCATTCCATTGCTTTGCATTCCAATCCCTTCGAGTCGATTCAATTCCATTTCATTCCATTCGCATCCATTCCATTCCATTCAGTTCGAGTCCATTCAATTTCATTCCATTCCATTTGAGTAAAGTCCATTTTATTCCATTCAAGTCCACAACATTACATTCCATTAGAGTCCATTTCATTCAATTCTGTTGTATTTCATTCGAGTCCATTCCATTCCATTCCATTTGAGTCCTTTCCATTCCATTTCATTCCATTCGTGACCACTCCATTCCATTCCATTCAAATAGGTTCCATTTCATTTCATTCCATTCGAGTCCATTGCACTCCATTCCATTCCTTTCTGGTCCTATCCATTCCCTTCCATTTCTGTCCATTCCAAAACAGTCCATTCCATTCCATTCCATTCGAGACCATTCGTTACATTCCATTCCATTCGAGTCCAATTTATTCCACTACATTCCATACAAATCATGTCCCTTCAGTTCCATTCCATTTGAGTCTATTCCACTCCATTCCTTTCGTGTCCATTCCGTTCCACACCATTCCATTGGAGTCCATCCCATTCTGTTCCATTCGTGTCCATTCCATTCAATTCCATTCAAGTCAATTCTATTCCATTCCATTCCAGTCCATTCCATTGCATTCCATAGCATTTGATTCCAATCCATTCCATTCCATTCGAGTCCATTCCATTCCATTCCATTAGATTCCATCCCATTGGGTTCATTCTATTAAATTCCATTCCCTTCCATTCGAGTCCATTCCATTCCACTCGAGACCATTCCATTCCATTCTCTTTGATTTCATACCATTCCATTCCATTCTATTCCATTCAAGTCAGTTCCATTCCATTTCATTCCATTCCATTGCTGTCCATTTTTTCCTTTCCATTCCATTCCATTTGATTCCATTCCATTCCATTACCTTCCATTCCATTCGAGTACATTCCATTCTATTACATGTGAATCCATTCCATTCCATTCCATTTCATTCGACTGCATCCCATTCGATTCCATTCGAGTCCAATCCATTCTATTACATTTGAATCCATTCCATTCCTTTCCATTCCATCCGAGTCCATTCCATTCCATTCGAGTCCATTCCATTCTATGACCTTTGGATCCGTTCCGTTCCATTCCATTCCATTCGAGTCCATTCCATTCGTGTATAGTCCATTTTATTCCACTGGAGTCCACAACATTCCATTACATTAGAGTCCATTCGATTAAATTCCGTTGTATTTCATTCGAGTCCTTTCCATTCCATTCCATTCCATCCGTGAACATTCCATTCCAGTCCATTGCTTTCGAATCCATTTCATTCCATTGTATTCCATTCCAATCGAGTCCATTCAATTCCATTCCATTCGAGTCCAATCCACTCCATTCCATTCGAATCCCTTCCTTTCCACACCCTTCCTTTCGAGTCCTTTCCATTCTATTCCATTCAAGTCCATTCCATTCAATTTCATTCGAGTCAATTCCATTCCATTCCATTCGAGTCCATTCCATTTGATTCCATGACATTACATTCGGGTCCATTCCATTCGAGTCTATGCCATTCCATTCCATTTTTTTCAAGTCTATTCCTTTCCATTCTTTCTATTTCATTCGAGTCCATTCCATTCCATTCCCTTCGAATCCGTTCCATTCTATTCAATTCCTTTTGAGGACATTCCATTCCATTCCATTCCATTCCTTTCAATTACATTCCATTCCATTCCATTCCAACTCTTTCGGTTCTGGTCCATTCCATTCCATTCCATTCTAGTCCATTTCTTAGAATCTATTCCATTCCAATCGAGATCACTCAATTCCATTCCATTCGAGTCCACTTCATTAGAATATCTTCCATTCCAATCGAGTCCATTCAATTCCATTCCATTCTAGTCCATTCCACTCCATTCCATATGAGTCCATTCCATTCGACAACTTTCCCCTGGAGTCCATTACATTCTATTACATTCTAGTCCATGCCATTCAGTTATTTTCTATTCAATTGCATTCCATTCCATTTGAGTCCATTCGATTGCATTCCATTCCATTCGAGTCCATTCCATTCCATTCCATTCAAGTCCATTCAATTCCATTAGATTCCCTTCCATTACAGTCCTTTTTACATTCCATCCCCTTCCTTTCGAGTCCATTCCATTCCATTCGTGTCATTCCTTCCTCTCTTCAGTCCTTCCATTCCATTCCATTCTTCTATTTTCATTCCATTCATTCCATTCTTTCTATTCCATTCTATTATATTCCATTCAATTCCATTCCATTCCATTCTATTCCATTTTAAGTCCAGTCCATTACATTTGATTCCATTCCATTCCATTCCTTTCTATTCCAATCTATTCTATTCCATTCTATTCCAATCCATTCCATTCCATTCCATTCCATTCTATTCCATTCCTTTCCATTCGAATAAATTTCATTCCATTACCTTCCATTCCATTCGAGTACATTCCATTCTGTTACATTCCATTCCATGCGAATCCATTCATTTCCATTCCTTTCTATTCGTTTCCATTGCACTCCATTCCATTCGAATCCTTTCCATTCCACGCCAGTCCATGCGAGTCCATTCTCTTCTATTACATGTGAATCTGTTCCATCCCGTTCCATTCCATTCGAGTCCATTCTATTAACTTCCATTCGAGCCCATTCCACTCCATTCCATTTGAGTCCAATCCATTCCCTTCCATTCCATTCCATTCCATTGAATGCCTTTGCATTCCATTCAATTCCATTCCTTTCGAGTCCGCTCCATTCCATTGAATTCCATTTATTTCCATTCCTTTTGAGTCCATTCAACTCCATTTCATTCCGTTTGAGTCCATTCCATTCCATTCCTTTTCCTTCCATACCATTCCATTCCATTCCATCCCAGTCCATTCCATTCCATTCCATTCTGTTCGAGTCGATTCCATTTGATTCCATGACATACATTCGGTTCCATTCCATTCAACTCCATTCCATTTGATTCCACGCCATTACATTCTTGTCCATTCCAGTCCACTCCTTTGGATTCTATGCCATTCCATTCCATTCCATTAAAGTCCATTCCTTTCCATTCCTTTCTATTCAATTCGAAACCATTCCATTCCAATCCATTGAAGTCTGTTCCATTCCACTCCATTCCATTGCAGTACATTCTATTCCATTTCATTCCATTCCATTCCATTCCATTCCTTTCGAGTCCGTTCCATTCCATTCCAATTCATTCTGTTCCGTTCCATTCCATTTCATTCCATTCTAGTCCATTTCATTCCAATCCATTCCATTCCAGAAGAGTCCATTCAATTCCAATCCATTCGAGTCCATAACACTCCATTCCATTAAAGTGCATTCCATTCAACACCATTCCATTTGAGTCCATCACATTCTATTCCATTCGTGTCCATTCCTATCAATTCCTTTCTAGTCAATTCCATTCCATTCCATTCCATTCGAGTCCATTCCATTGTGTTCCATTGCAATCGAGTCAATTCCATTCCATTCAATTCCATTCGATTCCATTCCATTAGATTCCATTCCATTAGGGTCCATTCTTACATTACTGCCCTTCCATTCTAGTCCATTCCATTGCATTCGAGTCCATTTCATTCCATTCCCTTCGAATCCATTCCTTTCCATTCCATTCCATTCCATTCCATTCTATTCCATTCCTTTCCATTCTTATAAATTTCATTCCATTACCTTCCATTCCATTCGAGTACATTCCATTCTGTTACATTCCATTCCATGCGAGTCCATTCATTTCCATTCCTTTCTATTCGTTTCCATTGCACTCCATTCCATTCCAATCCATTCCATTCCACGCCAGTCCATGCGAATCCATTCTCTTCTATTACATGTGAATCTGTTCCATCCCGTTCCATTCCGTCGAGTCCATTCTATTTCTTTCCATTCGAGCCCATTCCACTCTATTCCATTCGAGTCCAATCCATTCCCTTTCATTCCATTCCATTCCATTCCATTGATTGCCTTTGCATTCCATTCAATTCCATTCCTTTCGAGTCCATTCCATTCCATTGAATTCCTTTCAATTCCATTCCGTTTGAGTCCATTCCATTCCATTCCTTTTCCTTCCATACCATTCCATTCCATTCCATTCCATCCAGTGCATTCCATTCCATTCCATTCTGTTCGAGTCGATTCCATTTCATTCCATGACATACATTCGGTTCCATTCCATTCAACTCCATTCCATTTGATTCCACGCCATTACATTCTTGTCCATTCCAGTCCACTCCTTTGGATTCTATGCCATTCCATTCCATTCCATTCAAGTCCATTCCTTTCCATTCCTTTCTATTCAATTCGAATCCATTCCATTCCAATCCATTGGAGTCTGTTCCATTCCACTCCATTCCATTGCAGTACATTCTATTCCATTTCATTCCATTCCATTCCATTCCATTCCATTCCATTCGAGTCCATTCCATTCCATTCCAATTCATTCTCTTCTGTTCCATTCCATTCCATTCCATTCTAGTCCATTTCATTCCAATCCATTCCATTCCAGAAGAGTCCATTCAATTCCAATCCATTCGAGTCCATAACACTCCATTCCATTAAAGTCCATTCCATTCAACACCATTACATTCAAGTCCAACACATTCTATACCATTCGTGTCCATTCCTTTCAATTCCTTTCTAGTCAATTCCATTCCATTCCATTCCATTCGAGACCATTCCATTGTGTTTCATTCCAATCGTGTCAATTCAATTCCATTCAATTCAATTTGATTCCATTCCATTAGATTCCATTTCATTAGGGGCCATTCTATTACATTACATGCCCTTCCATTCGAGTCCATTCCATTCCGTTCGAGACCATTCCATTCCTTCCCTTTGATTTCATACCATTCCATTCCGTTCTATTCCATTCAAGTCAGTTCCATTCCATTTCATTCCATTCCATTCCAGTCCATTCTATTCCTTTGCATTCCATTCCATTCCATTCCATTTGATTCCATTCCTTTCCATTACCTTCCATTCCATTCCAGTACATTCCATTCTATTACATTTGAGTCCATTCCTTTCTATTCCATTTCATTCGAGTGCATCCCATTCGATTCCTTTCGAGTTCAATCCATTCTATTACATTTGAATCCATTCCATTCCTTTCCATTCCATCCAAGTCCATTCCATTCGATTCGAGTCCATTCCATTCTATTACCTTTGGATCCGCTTCCATTCCATTCCCTTCGAGTCCATTCATTCGGTGTATAGTCCATTTTATTCCATTGGAGTCCACAACATTCCGTTACATTAGAGTCCATTCGATTAAATTCCGTTGTATTTCATTCGAGTCCTTTCCATTCCATTCCATTCCATCCGTGACCATTCCATTCCAGTCCATTCCTTTCGAATCCATTTCATTCCATTGTATTCCATTCCAATCGAGTCCATTCAATTCCATTCCATTCGAGTCCAATCCACTCCATTCCGTTCGCATCCCCTCCATTCCACACCATTCCTTTCGAGTCCTTTCCATTCTATTCCACTCAAGTCCATTCCATTCAATTTCATTCGAGTCAATTCCATTCCATTCCATTCGAGTCCATTCCATTTGATTCCATGACATTACATTCGGGTCCATTCCATTCGAGTCTATGCCATTCCATTCCATTCTGTTCAAGTCTATTCCTTTCCATTCTTTCTATTCCACTCGAGTCCATTCCTTTCCATTCCATTCGAATCCGTTCCATTCCATTCAATTCCCTTTGAGGACATTCCATTCCATTCCATTCCATTCCATTCCTTTCAATTACATTCCATTCCATTCCAACTCATTCGGTTCTGGTAAATTCCATTCCATTCCATTCTAGTCCATTTCTTAGAATCTATTCCATTCCAATCGAGATCACTCAATTCCATTCCATTCGAGTCCACTTCATTAGAATATCTTCCATTCCAATCGCGTCCATTAAATTCCATTCTATTCTAGTCCATTCCACTCCATTCCATATGAGTCCATTCCATTCGACAACTTTCCACTGGAGTCCATTACATTCTATTACATTCTAGTCCATGCCATTCAATTATTTCCTACTCAATTGCATTCCATTCCATTTGAGTCCATTCGATTGCATTCCATTCCATTCGAGTCCATTCCATTCAAGTCCATTCAATTCCATTAGATTCCCTTCCATTAGAGTCCATTCTGTTACATTCCATCCCCTTCCTTCTAGTCCATTCCATTCCATTCGTGTCCATTCCATTCCATTCCCTTCTAGTCCTTTCCATTCCATTCCATTCTATTCCATTTTAAGTCCAGTCCATTACATTTCATTCCATTCCATTCCATTTCTTTCTATTCCATTCTATTCTATTCCGTTCCATTCCCTTCCATTCCCTTCCATTCCATTCTATTCCATTTCTTTCCATTCGAATAAATTTCATTCCATTACCTTCCATTCCATTCGAGTACATTCTATTCTGTTACATTCCATTCCATGCGAGTCCATTCATTTCCATTCCTTTCTATTCGTTTCCATTGCACTCCATTCCATTCCAATCCATTCCATTCCACGCCAGTCCATGCGAGTCCATTCTCTTCTATTACATGTGAATCTGTTCCATCCCGTTCCATTCCATTCGAGTCCATTCTATTTCTTTCCATTCGAGCCCATTCCACTCCATTCCAT
This sequence comes from Homo sapiens, assembly GCF_000001405.40. Lineage (NCBI taxonomy): Eukaryota > Metazoa > Chordata > Mammalia > Primates > Hominidae > Homo > Homo sapiens. The sequence goes on along the minus strand of NW_021160000.1, from coordinate 206,069 downwards.
TCGAGTCCAATCCATTCCCTTCCATTCCATTCCTTTCCATTCCATTGAATGCCTTTGCATTCCATTCAATTCCATTCCTTTCGAGTCCATTCCATTCCATTGAATTCCATTCAATTCCATTCCTTTTGAGTCCATTCAACTCCATTCCATTCCGTTTCAGTCCATTCCATTCCATTCCTTTTCCTTCCATACCATTCCATTCCATTCCATTCCATTCCATTCCATTCCATCCCAGTCCATTCCATTCCATTCCATTCTGTTCGATTCGATTACATTTGATTCCATGACATACATTCGGGTCCATTCCATTCAACTCCATTCCATTTGATTCCACGCCGTTACATTCTTGTCCATTCCAGTCCACTCCTTTGGATTCTATGCCATTCCATTCCATTCCATTCAAGTCCATTCTTTTCCATTCCTTTCTATTCAATTCGAATCCATTCCATTCCAATCCATTGGAGTCTGTTCCATTCCACTCCACTCCATTGCAGTACATTCTATTCCATTTCATTCCATTCCATTCCATTCCATTCCATTCCATTCCATTCGAGTCCGTTCCAATCCATTCCAGTTCATTCTGATCCGTTTCATTCCAGTCCATTCCATTCCAGAAGAGTCCATTCAATTCCAATCCATTCGAGTCCATCACACTCCATTCCGTTAAAGTCCATTCCATTCAACACCATTCCATTCGAGTCCATCACATTCTATTCCGTTCGTGTCCATTCCTTTCAATTCCTTTCTTGTCAATTCCATTTCATTCCATTCCATTCGAGTCCATTCCATTGTGTTCCATTGCAATCGAGTCAATTCCATTCCATTCAATTCCATTCGATTCCATTCCATTAGATTCCATTCCATTAGGGTACATTGTATTACATTACATGCCCTTCCATTCTAGTCCATTCCATTGCATTCGAGTCCATTTCATTCCATTCCCTTCGAATCCATTCCTTTCCATTCCATTCCATTCCATTCCATTCTATTCCATTCCTTTCCATTCTTATAAATTTCATTCCATTACCTTCCATTCCATTCGAGTACATTCCATTCTGTTACATTCCATTCCATGCGAGTCCATACATTTCCATTCCTTTCTATTCGTTTCCATTGCACTCCATTCCATTCCAATCCATTCCATTCCACGCCAGTCCATGCGAATCCATTCTCTTCTATTACATGTGAATCTGTTCCATCCCGTTCCATTCCGTTCGAGTCCATTCTATTTCTTTCCAATCGAGCCCATTCCACTCTATTCCATTCAAGTCCAATTCATTCCCTTTCATTCCATTCCATTCCATTCCATTGAATGCCTTTGCATTCCATTCAATTCCATTCATTTCGAGTCCATTCTATTCCATTGAATTCCATTCAATTCCATTCCTTTTGAGTCCATTCAATTCCATTCCATTCCGTTTCAGTCCATTCCATTCCATTCCTTTACCTTCCATACCATTCCATTCCATTCCATTCCATCCCAGTCCATTCCATTCCATTCCATTCTGTTCGAGTCGATTCCATTTGATTCCATGACATACATTCGGGTCCATTCCATTCAACTCCATTCCATTTGATTCCACGCCATTACATTCTTTTCCATTCCAGTCCACTCCTCTGGATTCTATGCCATTCCACTCCATTCCATTCAAGTCCATTCCTTTCCATTCCTTTCTATTCAATTCGAATCCATTCCATTCCAATCCATTGGAGTCTGTTCCATTCCACCCCATTCCATTGCAGTACATTCTATTCCATTTCATTCCATTCCATCTTCCATTGGAGTCCAATCCATTCCATTCCAATTCATTCTGTTCCGTTCCATTCCATTCCATTCCATTCTAGTCCATTTCATTCCATTCCCTTCGAATCCATTCCATTCCATTCCATTCCATTCCATTCCATTCTATTTCATTCAAGTCCATTCTATTCCATTCCATTCCATTCCATTCCATTCTATTCCATGCAATTCAATGCCATTCGATTCCATTCCATTTCATTCCATTCCATTCCTTTCAATTCGCATAAATTACATTCCATTACCTTCCATTCCATTCGAGTACATTACATTCCGTTACATTCAATTCCTTTCGACTCCATTCATTTCCTTTCCATCTATTCGTTTCCCATGCACTCTATTCCATTCGAGTCCATTCCATTTCTCTCCATTCCATTTCTCTCCATTCCATTAGGGTCCATTCTCTTCTATTACATTTGAATCTGTTCCATCCTATTCCATTCCATTCGAGTCCATTTCATTCGAGTCCATTCCATTCCATTCTATACCACTTGGTTACATTCCATTCCTTTCCATTCGAGTCCATTCCATTCCAACACATTTCATTCGAGTCCATTGCATTCCATTCCATTCGAATCCATACCATTCCATTCGATTCGATTCCATTCCATTCCATTTGATTCCATTCCATTGCATTCCATTCCATGCCATTCAGGTCCAATCCATTCAATTCCATTCGAGTCAATTCCATTCCAATCCATTCGAGTCCATTCCATTGCTTTGCATTCCAATCCCTTCGAGTCGATTCAATTCCATTTCATTCCATTCACATCCATTCCATTCCATTCAGTTCGAGTCCATTCAATTTCATTCCATTCCATTTGAGTAAAGTCCATTTTATTCCATTCAAGTCCACAACATTACATTCCATTAGAGTCCATTTCATTCAATTCTGTTGTATTTCATTCGAGTCCATTCCATTCCATTTGAGTCCTTTCCATTCCACTTCATTCCATTCGTGACCATTCCATTCCATTCGAATAGGTTCCATTCCATTTCATTCCATTCTAGTCCATTGCATTCCTTCCATTCCTTTCTGGTCCTATCCATTCCCTTCCATTTCTGTCCATTCCAAACCATTCCATTCCATTCCATTCCATTCCATCCGAGACCATTCGATTCCATTCCATTCCATTCGAGTCCAATTTATTCCACTACATTCCATACAAATCATGTCCCTTCAGTTCCATTCCATTTGAGTCTATTCCACTCCATTCCATTCGTGTCCATTCCGTTCCCACCATTCCATTGGAGTCCATCCCATTCTGTTCCATTCGTGTCCATTCCATTCAATTCCATTCAAGTCAATTCTATGCCATTCCATTCCAGTCCATTCCATTGCATTCCATAGCATTTGATTCCAATCCATTCCATTCCATTCGAGTCCATTCCATTCCACTCCATTAGATTCCATCCCATTGGGTCCATTCTATTAAATTCCATTCCCTTCCATTCAAGTCCATTCCATTCCATTTGAGACCATTCCATTCCATTCCTTTGATTTCATACCATTCCATTCCATTCTATACCATTCAAGACAGTTCCATTCCATTTCATTCCATTCCATTACAGTCCATTCTATTCCTTTCCATTCCATTCCGTTTCATTCCATTCCTTTCCATTACCTTCCATTCCTTTCCAATACATTCCATTCTATTACATTTGAGTCCATTCCATTCCATTCCATTCGAGTGCATCCCATTCGATTCCATTAGAGTCCAATCCATTCTATTACATTTGAATCCATTCCATTCCTTTCAATTCCATCCGAGTCCATTCCATTCCATTCGAGTCCATTCCATTCTATTACCTTTGGATCCGTTGCATTCCATTCCATTCCCTTCGAGTCCATTCCATTCGTGTATAGTCCTTTTTATTCCATTGGAGTCCACAACATTCCGTTACATTAGAGTCCATTCGATTAAATTCCGTTGTATTTCATTCGAGTCCTTTCCATTCCATTTCATTCCATCCGTGACCATTCCATTCCAGTCCATTCCTTTCGAATCCATTTCATTCCATTGTATTCCATTCCAATCGAGTCCATTCAATTCCATTCCAATCGAGTCCAATCCACTCCATTCCATTCACATCCCCTCCATTCCACACCATTCCTTTCGAGTCCTTTCCATTCTATTGCACTCAAGTCCATTCCATTCAATTTCATTCGAGTCAATTCCATTCCATTCCATTCGAGTCCATTCCATTTGATTCCATGACATTACATTCGGGTCCATTCCATTCGAGTCTATGCCATTCCATTCCATTCTGTTCAAGTCTATTCCTTTCCATTCTTTCTATTCCATTCGAGTACATTCCATTCCATTCCATTCGAATCCGTTCCATTCCATTCAATTCCCTTTGAGGACAATCCATTCCATTCCATTCCATTCCTTTCAATTACATTCCATTCCATTCCAACTCATTCGGTTCTGGTCCATACCATTCTAGTCCATTTCTTAGAATCTATTCCATTCCAATCGAGATCACTCAATTCCATTCCATTGAGTGCACTTCATTAGAATATCTTCCATTCCAATCGAGTCCATTCAATTCCATTCCATTCTAGTCCATTCCACTCCATTCCATATGAGTCCATTCCATTCGACAACTTTCCACTGGAGTCCATTACATTCTATTACATTCTAGTCCATGCCATTCAATTATTTTCTACTCAATTGCATTCCATTCCATTTGAGTCCATTCAATTGCATTCCATTCCATTCGAGTCCATTCCATTCCATTCCATTCAAGTCCATTCAATTCCATTAGATTCCCTTCCATTAGAGTCCAAACTTTTACATTCCATCCCCTTCCTTTCGAGTCCATTCCATTCCATTCGTGTCCATTCCATTCCCTTCTATTCCTATCCACTCCATTTCATTCTATTCCATTTTAAGTTCAGTCCATTACATTTCATTCCATTCCATTCCTTTCTATTCCCTTCTATTCTATTCCATTCCATTCCTTCCATTCCATTCCATTCCATTCCTTTCCATTCGAATAAATTTCATTCCATTGCCTTCCATTCCATTCGAGTACATTCCATTCTGTTACATTCCATTCCATGCGAGTCCATTCATTTCCATTCCTTTCTATTCGTTTCCATTGCACTCCATTCCATTCCAATCTATTCCATTCCACGCCAGTCTATGCGAGTCCATTCTCTTCTATTACATGTGAATCTGTTCCATCCCGTTCCATTCCATTCGAGTCCATTCTATTTATTTCCATTCGAGCCCATTCCACTCCATTCCATTCGAGTCCAATCCATTCCCTTCCATTCCATTCCATTCCATTGAATGCCTTTGCATTCCATTCAATTCCATTCCTTTCGAGTCCATTCCATTCCATTGAATTCCATTCAATTCCATTCCTTTTGAGTCCATTCAATTCCATTCCATTCCGTTTGAGTCCATTCCATTCCATTCCTTTTCCTTCCATACCACTCCATTCCATTCCATTCCATCCCAGTCCATTCCATTCCATTCCATTCTGTTCGAGTCGATTCCATTTGATTCCATGACATACATTCGGGTCCATTCCATTCAACTCCATTCCATTTGATTCCATGCCGTTACATTCTTGTCCATTCCAGTCCACTCCTTTGGATTCTATGCCATTCCATTCCATTCCATTCAAGTCCATTCCTTTCTATTCAATTCGAATCCATTCCATTCCAATCCATTGGAGTCTGTTCCATTCCACTCCATTCCATTGCAGTACATTCTATTCCATTCCATTCCATTCCATTCCATCCTTTCCATTCCATCGAGTGCCGTTCCATTCCATTCCAATTCATTCTGTTCCGTTCCATTCCATTCCATTCCATTCTAGTCCTCATTCCAATCTCCATTCCATTCCAGAAGAGTCCATTCAATTCCAATCCACTCGAGTCCATAACACTCCATTCCATTAAAGTCCATTCCATTCAACACCATTCCATTCGAGTCCATCACATTCTATTCCATTCGTGTCCATTCCTTTCAATTCCTTTCTAGTCAATTCCATTCCATTCCATTCCATTCGAGTCCATTCCATTGTGTTCCATTCCAATCGAGTCAATTCTTCCATTCAATTCCATTCGATTCTCATTCCATTATATTCCATTCCATTAGGGTCCATTCTATTACATAACATTTCCTACCTTTCTGTCCATTCCATTCCATTCGAGTCCATTTCATTCCATTCCCTTCTAATCCATTCCTTTCCATTCCATTCCATTCCATTCCATTCTATTTCATTCAAGTCCATTCTATTCCATTTCATTCCATTCCATTCCAGTCGATTCCACTCCTTCCATTCCATTCCATTCCATTCTATTCCATGCCAATCAATGCCATTCGATTCCATTCCATTTCATTCCATTCCATTCCTTTCCATTCGCTAAATTACATTCCAATACCTTCCATTCCATTCGAGTATATTCCATTCCGTTACATTCAATTCCATTCGAGTCCATTCATGTCCATTCCATCTATTCCTTTCCAATGCACTCCATTCCATTCGAGTCCATTCCATTTCTCTCCATTCCATTAGATTCCATTCTCTTCTATTACATTTGAATCTGTTCCATCCTATTCCATTCCATTCGAGTCCATTCCATTCCATTTCATTCGAGTCCGTTCCATTCCATTCTTATCATTTGGTTACATTCCATTCCTTTCCATTCGAGTCCATTCCATTCCAACCCATTTCATTCGAGTCCATTGCATTCCATTCCATTCGAATCCATACCATTCCATTCGATTCGATTCCATTCCATTCCATTTGATTCCATTCCATTGCATTCCATTCCATGCCGTTCAGGTCCAATCCATTCAATTCCATTCGAGTCAATTCCATTCCAATCCATTCGAGTCCATTCCATTGCTTTGCATTCCAATCCCTTCGAGTCGATTCAATTCTATTTCATTCCATTCGCATCCATTCCATTCCATTCAGTTCGAGTCCATTCAATTTCATTCCATTCCATTTGAGTAAAGTCCATTTTATTCTATTCAAGTCCACAACTTTACATTCCATTAGAGTCCATTTCATTCAATTCTGTTGTATTTCATTCGAGTCCATTTCATTCCATTTGAGTCCTTTCCATTCCATTTCATTCCATTCGTGACCATTCCATTCCATTCCATTCGAATAGGTTCCTTCATTCTCATTTCGAGTCCATTGCATTCCATTGCATTCCTTTCTGGTCTTATCATTCCCTTCCATTTCTGTCCATTCAAACCATTCCATTCCATTTCATGCCATTCCATTCCATTCCATCCGAGACCATTCGATTCCATTCCATTCCATTCGAGTCCAATTTATTCCACCAGACTTCCATACAAATCATGTCCTTTCAGTTCCATTCCATTTGAGTCTATTCCACTCCATCCATTCGTGTCCATTCGTTCACACCACCATTCCATTGGATCCACCATTCTGTTCCATTCGTGTCCATTCCATCAATTCCATTCAGTCAATTCTATATCCATTCCATTCCTGTCCTCACATCCTTCCATTACATTCGAGTCCATTCCATTCCATTCCATTAGATTCATCCCATTGGGTCATTCTATTCAATTCCATTCCCTTCCATTCGAGTCCATTCCATTCCATTCGAGACCATTCCATTCCATTCCCTTTGATTTCATCCATCCTTTCCATTCTATTCCATTCAAGTCAGTTCCATTCCATTTCATTCCATTCCATTCCAGTCCATTCTATTCCTTTCCATTCCATTCCATCCTCATTCCAATACCTTCCATTCCATTCGAGTACATTCCTTCTATTACATTTGAATCCATTCATTCCATTCCTTCATTCGACTGCATCCCATTCGATTCCATTCGAGTCCACTCCATTCTATTACATTTGAATCCATTCATTCCTTTTCCAATTTCATCCCGTCTTCTATCATTCACCTTTAGATCCGTTCCATTCCATTCCATTTTATTCGAGTCCATTCCATTCGTGTATAGTCCATTTTATTCCATTGGAGTCCAAACATTCCGTTACATTAGAGTCCATTCGATTAAATTCCGTTGTATTTCATTCGAGTCCTTTCCATTCATTCCATTCCATCCGTGACCTTCCTTCAGTCCAATCCTTTCGAATCCATTTCATTCCATTGTATTCCATTCCATTCCAATCGAGTCCATTCAATTCCATTCCATTCGAGTCCAATCACTCCATTCCATTCAAATCCCTTCCATTCCACACCATTCCTTTCGAGTCTCTTTCATTCTATTCCACTCAAGTCCATTCCATTCAATTTCATTCGAGTCAATTCCTTCCATTCCTTTCGAGTCCATTCCATTTGATTCCGTGACATTACTTCGGGTCCTTTCCATTCGAGCTATGCCATTCCATACCTTCTGTTCAAGTCTATTCCTTTCCTTTCTTTCTTCCTTCGAGTCCTTCCATTCCATTCCAGTCGAATCCGTTCCATTCCATTCAATTCTCTTTGAGGACATTCCATTCCATTCCATTCCTTCCATTCCATTCCTTTCATTACATTCCGTCTCCATCCCTCATTCGCTTCTGGTCCATTCCATCATCATTCAGTCCATTTCTTAGAATCTATTCCATTCCAATCTAGATCACTCAATTCCATTCCATCCGAGTCCACTTATTGAATATCTTCCATTCCAATCGAGTCCATTCAATTCCATTCCATTCTAGTCCATTCCACTCCATTCCATATGAGTCCATTCCATTCGACAACTCTTTCCACTGGAGTCCATTACATTCTATTACATTCTAGTCCATGCCATTCATATTTTTCTACTCAATTGCATTCCATTCCATTTGAGTGCATTCGATTGCATTCCATTCCATTCGAGTCCATTCCATTCCATTCCATTCAAGTCCATTCAATTCCATTAGATTCCCTTCCATTAGAGTCCATTCTATTACATTCCATCCCCTTCCTTTCGAGTCCATTCCATTCCATTCGTGTCTCATTCCATTCCATTCCCTTCTAGTCCTTTCCATTCCATTCCATTCTATTCCATTTTAAGTCCAGTCCATTACATTCTTCCCATTCCATTCCATTCCTTTCTATTCCATTCTATTCTGTCCTTCCTCCATTCCATTCCATTCCATTCCATTCCATTCTATTCCATTCCTTTCCATTCGAATAAATTTCATTCCATTAACTTCTATTCCTTTCGAGTACATTCCATCCTGTTACTTTCATTCCAGCTCAATTCTTTCCATTCCTTTCTATTCGTTTCCATTGCAATCCATTCCATTCCAATCCATTCCATTCCACGCCAGTCCATGCGAGTCCATTCTCTTCTATTACATGTGAATCTGTTCCATCCCCATCATCCTTCTCCATACTCCATTCCATTCGAGTCCAATCCATTCCCTTCCATTCCATTCCATTCCATTGAATGCCTTTGCATTCCATTCAATTCCATTCCTTTCGAGTCCATTCCATTCCATTGAATTCCATTCAATTCCATTCCTTTTGAGTCCATTGAATTCCATTCCATTCCGTTTCAGTCCATTCCATTCCATTCCTTTTACTTCCATACCATTCCATTCCATTCTATTCCATCCCAGTCCATTCCATTCCATTCCATTCTGTTCGAGTCGATTCCATTTGATTCCATGACATACATTCGGGTCCATTCCATTCAACTCCATTCATTTCCACGCCGTTACATTCTTGTCCATTCCAGTCCACTCCTTTGGATTCTATGCCATTCCATTCCATTCCATTCAAGTCCATTCCTTTCCATTCCTTTCTATTCAATTCGAATCCATTCCATTCCAATCCATTGGAGTCTGTTCCATTCCACTCCATTCCATTGCAGTACATTCTATTCCATTTCATTCCATTCCATTCCATTCCATTCCATTCGAGTCCGTTCCATTCCATTCCAGTTCATTCTCTTCCGTTCCATTCCATTCTTTCCATTCTAGTCCATTTCATTCCAATCCATTCCATTCAGAAGAGTCCATTCAATTCTAATCCATTCGAGTCCATAACACTCCATTCCATTAAAGTCCATTGCATTCAACACCATTCCATTCGAGACCATCCATTCTATTCCATTCGTGTCCATTCCTTTCAATTCCTTTCTAGTCAATTCCATTCCATTCCATTCCATTCGAGTCCATTCCATTGGTTTCCATTCCAATCGAGTCAATTCCATTCCATTCAATTCCATTCGATTCCTTCCATTAGATTCCATTCCATTGGGTCCATTCTATTACAGTACATGCCCTTTCTTTCTAGTCCATTCCATTCCATTCGAGTCCATTTCATTCCATTCCCTTCGAATCCATTTCCTTTCCATTCCATTCCATTCCATTCTCTTTCATTCAAGTCCATTCTATTCCATTTCATTCCATTCCATTCCAATGGATTCCACTCCATTCCATTCCATTCCATTCTATTCCATACCATTCAATGCCATTCGATTCTATTCCATTTCATTCCATACCATTCCTTTCCATTCGCATAAATTACATTCCATTACCTTCCATTCCATTCGAGTACATTCCATTCCGTTACATTCAATTCCATTCGAGTCCATTCATTTCCATTCCATCTATTCGTTTCCAATGCACTCCATTCCATTCGAGTCCATTCCATTTCTCTCCATTCCATTAGAGTCCATTCTCTTCTATTACATTTGAATCTGTTCCATCCTATTCCATTCCATTCGAGTCCATTCCATTCCATTTCATTCGAGTCCATTCCATTCCATTCTATACCATTTGGTTACATTCCATTTCCATTCGAGTCCATTCCATTCCAACCCATTTCATTCGAGTCCATTGCATTCCATTCCATTCGAATCCATACCATTCCATTCGATTCGATTCCATTCCTTCCATTTGATTCCATTCATTGCATTCCATTCCATGCCATTCAGGTCCAATCCATTCAATTCCATTCGAGTCAATTCCATTCCAATCCATTCGAGTCCATTCCATTGCTTTGCATTCCAATCCCTTCGAGTCGATTCAATTCCATTTCTTCCATTCGCATCCATTCCATTCCATTCAGTTCGAGTCCATTCAATTTCATTCCATTCCATTTGAGTAAAGTCCATTTTATTCCATTCAAGTCCACAACATTACATTCCATTAGAGTCCATTTCATTCAATTCTGTTGTATTTCATTCGAGTCCATTCCATTCCATTCCATTCCATTTGAGTCCTTTCCATTCCATTTCATTCCAGTCGTGACCATTCCATTCCATTCCATTCGAATAGGTTCCATTGCATTTCATCTTTCGAGTCCATTGCATTCCATTCCATTCCTTTCCTTTCATTCCATTCCATTCCACTCAACTACGGTTCTGGTCCATTCCATTCCATTCCATTCTAGTCCATTTCATAGAATCTATTCCATTAGATCACTCAATTCCATTCCATTCGAGTCCACTTGATTAGAATATCTTCCATTCCAATCGAGTCCATTCAGTTCCATTCCATTCGAGTCCATTCCACTCCATTCCATATCAGTCCTTCCATTCGACAACTTTCCCTGGAGTCCATTACATTCTATTACATTCTATTCCATGCCATTAAATTATTTTCTACTCAATTTCATTCCATTCCATTTGAGTCCATTCTATTGCATTCCATTTTATTCGAGTCCATTCCATTCCATTCCATTCCATTCAAGTCCATTCAATTCCATTAGATTCCCTTCCATTAGATCCATTCTATTACATTCCATCCCCTTCCTTTCGAGTCCATTCCATTCAATCGTGTCCATTCCATTCCATTCCCTTTAGTCCTTTCCATTCCATTCCATTCTATTCCATTTTAAGTCCATTCCATTACCTTCATTCCATTCCATTCCATTCCTTTCTATTCCATTCTATTCTATTCCATTCAATTCCATTCCATTCCATTCCATTCTATTCCATTTTAAGTCCAGTCATTACATTCATTCCTTCCATTCCATTCCTTCTATTCCAATCTATTCTATTCCTTCAATTCCAATCCATTCCATTCCATCTCCATCCATTCCATTCCATTCTATCCATTCCTTTCCATTCGAATAAATTTCATTCCATTACATTCCATTCCATTCGAGTACATTCCATTCTGTTACATTCCATTCATGCGAGTCCATTCATTTCCATTCCTTTCTATTCGTTTCCATTGCACTCCATTCCATTCGAATCCATTCCATTGTGTTCCATTCCAATCGAGTCAATTCCATTCCATTCAATTCCATTCGATTCCATTCCATTAGTTCCATTCCACTAGGGTCCATTGTATTACATTACATGCCCTTCCTTTCTAGTCCATTCCATTCCATTCGAGTCCATTTCATTCCATTCCCTTCGAATCCATTCCTTTCCATTCCATTCCATTCCATTCCATTCTATTCCATTCCATTCCATTCCATTCCATTCTATTTCATTCAAGTCCATTCTATTCCACTTCATTCCTTTCCATTCCAGTCGATTCCACTCCATTCCATTCCATTCCATTCTATTCCATGCCATTCAATGCCATTCGATTCCATTCCATTTCATTCCATTCCATTCCTTTCCATTCGCATAAATTACATTCCTTTACCTTCCATTCCATTCGAGTACATTCCATTCCGTTACATTCAATTCCATTCGAGTCCATTCATTTCCATTCCGTGTATTCTTTTCCAATGCACTCCATTCCATTCGAGTCCATTCCATTTCTCTCCATTCAATTAGAGTCCATTCTCTTCTATTACATTTGAATCTGTTCCATCCTATTCCATTCCATTCGAGTCCATTCCATTCCATTTCATTCGAGTCCATTCCATTCCATTCTATACCATTTGGTTACATTCCATTCCTTTCATTCGAGTCCATTCCATTCCAACTCATTTCATTCGTGTCCATTGCATTCCATTCCATTCGAATCCATACCATTCCATTCGATTCGATTCCATTCCATTCCATTTGATTCCATTCCATTGCATTCCATTCCATGCCATTCAGGTCCAATCCATTCAATTCCATTCGAGTCAATTCCTCTCCAATTCCATTCGAGTCCATTCCATTGCTTTGCATTCCAATCCCTTCGAGTCGATTCAATTCCATTTCATTCCATTCGCATCCATTCCATTCATCAGTTCGAGTTCCATTCAATTTCATTCCATTCCATTTGAGTAAAGTCCATTTTATTCCATTCAAGTCCACAACATTACATTCCATTAGAGTCCATTTCATTCAATTCTGTTGTATTTCATTCGAGTCCATTCCATTCCATTCCTTTGAGTCCTTTCCATTCCATTTCATTCATTCGTGACCACTCCATTCCATTCCATTCAAATAGGTTCCATTCATTTCATTCCATTCGAGTCCATTGCACTCCATTCCATTCCTTTCTGGTCCTATCCATTCCCTTCCATTTCTGTCCATTCCAAAACAGTCCATTCCATTCCATTCCATTCGAGACCATTCGTTACATTCCATTCCATTCGAGTCCAATTTATCCACTACATTCATACAAATCATGTCCTTCAGTTCCATTCCATTTGAGTCTATTCCACTCCATTCCTTTCGTGTCCATTCCGTTCCACACCATTCCATTGGAGTCCATCCCATTCTGTTCCATTCGTGTCCATTCCATTCAATTCCATTCAAGTCAATTCTATTCCATTCCATTCCAGTCCATTCCATTGCATTCCATAGCATTTGATTCCAATCCATTCCATTCCATTCGAGTCCATTCCATTCCATTCCATTAGATTCCATCCCATTGGGTTCATTCTATTAAATTCCATTCCCTTCCATTCGAGTCCATTCCATTCCACTCGAGACCATTCCATTCCATTCTCTTTGATTTCATACCATTCCATTCCATTCTATTCCATTCAAGTCAGTTCCATTCCATTTCATTCCATTCCATTGCTGTCCTTTTTTCCTTCCTTCTTCCATTTGATTCCATTCCATTCCATTACCTTCCATTCCATTCGAGTACATTCCATTCTATTACATGTGAATCCATTCCATTCCATTCCATTTCATTCGACTGCATCCCATTCGATTCCATTCGAGTCCAATCCATTCTATTACATTTGAATCCATTCCATTCCTTTCCATTCCATCCGAGTCCATTCCATTCCATTCGAGTCCATTCCATTCTATGACCTTTGGATCCGTTCCGTTCCATTCCATTCCATTCGAGTCCATTCCATTCGTGTATAGTCCATTTATTCACTGGAGTCCACAACATTCCATTACATTAGAGTCCATTCGATTAAATTCCGTTGTATTTCATTCGAGTCCTTTCCATTCCATTCCATTCCATCCGTGAACATTCCATTCAGTCCATTGTTTCGAATCCATTTCATTCCATTGTATTCCATTCCAATCGAGTCCATTCAATTCCATTCCATTCGAGTCAATCCACTCCATTCCATTCGAATCCCTTCCTTTCCACACCCTTCCTTTCGAGTCCTTTCCATTCTATTCCATTCAAGTCCATTCCATTCAATTTCATTCGAGTCAATTCCATTCCATTCCATTCGAGTCCATTCCATTTGATTCCATGACATTACATTCGGGTCCATTCCATTCGAGTCTATGCCATTCCATTCCATTTTTTTCAAGTCTATTCCTTTCCATTCTTTCTATTTCATTCGAGTCCATTCCATTCCATTCCCTTCGAATCCGTTCCATTCTATTCAATTCCTTTTGAGGACATTCCATTCCATTCCATTCCATTCCTTTCAATTACTTCCATTCCATTCCATTCCAACTCTTTTCGGTTCTGGTCCATTCCATTCCATTCCATTCTAGTCCATTTCTTAGAATCTATTCCATTCCAATCGAGATCACTCAATTCCATTCCATTCGAGTCCACTTCATTAGAATATCTTCCATTCCAATCGAGTCCATTCAATTCCATTCCATTCTAGTCCATTCCACTCCATTCCATATGAGTCCATTCCATTCGACAACTTTCCCCTGGAGTCCATTACATTCTATTACATTCTAGTCCATGCCATTCAGTTATTTTCTATTCAATTGCATTCCATTCCATTTGAGTCCATTCGATTGCATTCCATTCCATTCGAGTCCATTCCATTCCATTCCATTCAAGTCCATTCAATTCCATTAGATTCCCTTCCATTACAGTCCATTCTATTACATTCCATCCCCTTCCTTTCGAGTCCATTCCATTCCATTCGTGTCCATTCCATTCCATTCCCTTCTAGTCCTTTCCATTCCATTCCATTCTATTCCATTTTAAGTCCAGTCCATTACCTTTCATTCCATTCCATTCCATTCCTTTCTATTCCATTCTATTATATTCCATTCAATTCCATTCCATTCCATTCTATTCCATTTTAAGTCCAGTCCATTACATTTGATTCCATTCCATTCCATTCCTTTCTATTCCAATCTATTCTATTCCATTCTATTCCAATCCATTCCATTCCATTCCATTCCATTCTATTCCATTCCTTTCCATTCGAATAAATTTCATTCCATTACCTTCCATTCCATTCGAGTACATTCCATTCTGTTACATTCCATTCCATGCGAATCCATTCATTTCCATTCCTTTCTATTCGTTTCCATTGCACTCCATTCCATTCGAATCCTTTCCATTCCACGCCAGTCCATGCGAGTCCATTCTCTTCTATTACATGTGAATCTGTTCCATCCCGTTCCATTCCATTCGAGTCCATTCTATTAACTTCCATTCGAGCCCATTCCACTCCATTCCATTTGAGTCCAATCCATTCCCTTCCATTCCATTCCATTCCATTGAATGCCTTTGCATTCCATTCAATTCCATTCCTTTCGAGTCCGCTCCATTCCATTGAATTCCATTTATTTCCATTCCTTTTGAGTCCATTCAACTCCATTTCATTCCGTTTGAGTCCATTCCATTCCATTCCTTTTCCTTCCATACCATTCCATTCCATTCCATCCCAGTCCATTCCATTCCATTCCATTCTGTTCGAGTCGATTCCATTTGATTCCATGACATACATTCGGTTCCATTCCATTCAACTCCATTCCATTTGATTCCACGCCATTACATTCTTGTCCATTCCAGTCCACTCCTTTGGATTCTATGCCATTCCATTCCATTCCATTAAAGTCCATTCCTTTCCATTCCTTTCTATTCAATTCGAAACCATTCCATTCCAATCCATTGAAGTCTGTTCCATTCCACTCCATTCCATTGCAGTACATTCTATTCCATTTCATTCCATTCCATTCCATTCCATTCCATTCCTTTCGAGTCCGTTCCATTCCATTCCAATTCATTCTGTTCCGTTCCATTCCATTTCATTCCATTCTAGTCCATTTCATTCCAATCCATTCCATTCCAGAAGAGTCCATTCAATTCCAATCCATTCGAGTCCATAACACTCCATTCCATTAAAGTGCATTCCATTCAACACCATTCCATTTGAGTCCATCACATTCTATTCCATTCGTGTCCATTCCTATCAATTCCTTTCTAGTCAATTCCATTCCATTCCATTCCATTCGAGTCCATTCCATTGTGTTCCATTGCAATCGAGTCAATTCCATTCATTCAATTCATTCGATTCCATTCCATTAGATTCCATTCCATTAGGGTCCATTCTATTACATTACATGCCCTTCCATTCTAGTCCATTCCATTGCATTCGAGTCCATTTCATTCCATTCCCTTCGAATCCATTCCTTTCCATTCCATTCCATTCCATTCCATTCTATTCCATTCCTTTCCATTCTTATAAATTTCATTCCATTACCTTCCATTCCATTCGAGTACATTCCATTCTGTTACATTCCATTCCATGCGAGTCCATTCATTTCCATTCCTTTCTATTCGTTTCCATTGCACTCCATTCCATTCCAATCCATTCCATTCCACGCCAGTCCATGCGAATCCATTCTCTTCTATTACATGTGAATCTGTTCCATCCCGTTCCATTCCGTTCGAGTCCATTCTATTTCTTTCCATTCGAGCCCATTCCACTCTATTCCATTCGAGTCCAATCCATTCCCTTTCATTCCATTCCATTCCATTCCATTGATTGCCTTTGCATTCCATTCAATTCCATTCCTTTCGAGTCCATTCCATTCCATTGAATTCCTTTCAATTCCATTCCGTTTGAGTCCATTCCATTCCATTCCTTTTCCTTCCATACCATTCCATTCCATTCCATTCCATCCCAGTGCATTCCATTCCATTCCATTCTGTTCGAGTCGATTCCATTTCATTCCATGACATACATTCGGTTCCATTCCATTCAACTCCATTCCATTTGATTCCACGCCATTACATTCTTGTCCATTCCAGTCCACTCTTTGGATTCTATGCCATTCCATTCCATTCCATTCAAGTCCATTCCTTTCCATTCCTTTCTATTCAATTCGAATCCATTCCATTCCAATCCATTGGAGTCTGTTCCATTCCACTCCATTCCATTGCAGTACATTCTATTCCATTTCATTCCATTCCATTCCATCTTCCATTCCATTCGAGTCCATTCCATTCCATTCCAATTCATTCTCTTCTGTTCCATTCCATTCCATTCCATTCTAGTCCATTTCATTCCAATCCATTCCATTCCAGAAGAGTCCATTCAATTCCAATCCATTCGAGTCCATAACACTCCATTCCATTAAAGTCCATTCCATTCAACACCATTACATTCAAGTCCAACACATTCTATACCATTCGTGTCCATTCCTTTCAATTCCTTTCTAGTCAATTCCATTCCATTCCATTCCATTCGAGACCATTCCATTGTGTTTCATTCCAATCGTGTCAATTCAATTCCATTCAATTCAATTTGATTCCATTCCATTAGATTCCATTTCATTAGGGGCCATTCTATTACATTACATGCCCTTCCATTCGAGTCCATTCCATTCCGTTCGAGACCATTCCATTCCATTCCCTTTGATTTCATACCATTCCATTCCGTTCTATTCCATTCAAGTCAGTTCCATTCCATTTCATTCCATTCCATTCCAGTCCATTCTATTCCTTTGCATTCCATTCCATTCCATTCCATTTGATTCCATTCCTTTCCATTACCTTCCATTCCATTCCAGTACATTCCATTCTATTACATTTGAGTCCATTCCTTTCTATTCCATTTCATTCGAGTGCATCCCATTCGATTCCTTTCGAGTTCAATCCATTCTATTACATTTGAATCCATTCCATTCCTTTCCATTCCATCCAAGTCCATTCCATTCGATTCGAGTCCATTCCATTCTATTACCTTTGGATCCGTTCCATTCCATTCCATTCCCTTCGAGTCCATTCCATTCGTGTATAGTCCATTTTATTCCATTGGAGTCCACAACATTCCGTTACATTAGAGTCCATTCGATTAAATTCCGTTGTATTTCATTCGAGTCCTTTCCATTCCATTCCATTCCATCCGTGACCATTCCATTCCAGTCCATTCCTTTCGAATCCATTTCATTCCATTGTATTCCATTCCAATCGAGTCCATTCAATTCCATTCCATTCGAGTCCAATCCACTCCATTCCGTTCGCATCCCTCCATTCCACACCATTCCTTTCGAGTCCTTTCCATTCTATTCCACTCAAGTCCATTCCATTCAATTTCATTCGAGTCAATTCCATTCCATTCCATTCGAGTCCATTCCATTTGATTCCATGACATTACATTCGGGTCCATTCCATTCGAGTCTATGCCATTCCATTCCATTCTGTTCAAGTCTATTCCTTTCCATTCTTTCTATTCACTCGAGTCCATTCCTTTCCATTCCATTCGAATCCGTTCCATTCCATTCAATTCCCTTTGAGGACATTCCATTCCATTCCATTCCATTCCATTCCTTTCAATTACATTCCATTCCATTCCAACTCATTCGGTTCTGGTAAATTCCATTCCATTCCATTCTAGTCCATTTCTTAGAATCTATTCCATTCCAATCGAGATCACTCAATTCCATTCCATTCGAGTCCACTTCATTAGATAATCTTCCATTCCAATCGCGTCCATTAAATTCCATTCTATTCTAGTCCATTCCACTCCATTCCATATGAGTCCATTCCATTCGACAACTTTCCACTGGAGTCCATTACATTCTATTACATTCTAGTCCATGCCATTCAATTATTTCCTACTCAATTGCATTCCATTCCATTTGAGTCCATTCGATTGCATTCCATTCCATTCGAGTCCATTCCATTCAAGTCCATTCAATTCCATTAGATTCCCTTCCATTAGAGTCCATTCTGTTACATTCCATCCCCTTCCTTTCTAGTCCATTCCATTCCATTCGTGTCCATTCCATTCCATTCCCTTCTAGTCCTTTCCATTCCATTCCATTCTATTCCATTTTAAGTCCAGTCCATTACATTTCATTCCATTCCATTCCATTTCTTTCTATTCCATTCTATTCTATTCCGTTCCATTCCCTTCCATTCCCTTCCATTCCATTCTATTCCATTTCTTTCCATTCGAATAAATTTCATTCCATTACCTTCCATTCCATTCGAGTACATTCTATTCTGTTACATTCCATTCCATGCGAGTCCATTCATTTCCATTCCTTTCTATTCGTTTCCATTGCACTCCATTCCATTCCAATCCATTCCATTCCACGCCAGTCCATGCGAGTCCATTTCTTCTATTACATGTGAATCTGTTCCATCCCGTTCCATTCCATTCGAGTCCATTCTATTTCTTTCCATTCGAGCCCATTCCACTCCATTCCATTCGAGTCCAATCCATTCCCTTCCATTCCATTCCTTTCCATTCCATTGAATGCCTTTGCATTCCATTCAATTCCATTCCTTTCGAGTCCATTCCATTCCATTGAATTCCATTCAATTCCATTCCTTTTGAGTCCATTCAACTCCATTCCATTCCGTTTCAGTCCATTCCATTCCATTCCTTTTCCTTCCATACCATTCCATTCCATTCCATTCCATTCCATTCCATTCCATCCCAGTCATTCCATTCCATTCCATTCTGTTCGATTCGATTACATTTGATTCCATGACATACATTCGGGTCCATTCCATTCAACTCCATTCCATTTGATTCCACGCCGTTACATTCTTGTCCATTCCAGTCCACTCCTTTGGATTCTATGCCATTCCATTCCATTCCATTCAAGTCCATTCTTTTCCATTCCTTTCTATTCAATTCGAATCCATTCCATTCCAATCCATTGGAGTCTGTTCCATTCCACTCACTCCATTGCAGTACATTCTATTCCATTTCATTCCATTCCATTCCATTCCATTCCATTCCATTCCATTCGAGTCCGTTCCAATCCATTCCAGTTCATTCTGATCCGTTTCATTCCAGTCCATTCCATTCCAGAAGAGTCCATTCAATTCCAATCCATTCGAGTCCATCACACTCCATTCCGTTAAAGTCCATTCCATTCAACACCATTCCATTCGAGTCCATCACATTCTATTCCGTTCGTGTCCATTCCTTTCAATTCCTTTCTTGTCAATTCCATTTCATTCCATTCCATTCGAGTCCATTCCATTGTGTTCCATTGCAATCGAGTCAATTCCATTCCATTCAATTCCATTCGATTCCATTCCATTAGATTCCATTCCATTAGGGTACATTGTATTACATTACATGCCCTTCCATTCTAGTCCATTCCATTGCATTCGAGTCCATTTCATTCCATTCCCTTCGAATCCATTCCTTTCCATTCCATTCCATTCCATTCCATTCTATCCATTCCTTTCCATTCTTATAAATTTCATTCCATTACCTTCCATTCCATTCGAGTACATTCCATTCTGTTACATTCCATTCATGCGAGTCCATACATTTCCATTCCTTTCTATTCGTTTCCATTGCACTCCATTCCATTCCAATCCATTCCATTCCACGCCAGTCCATGCGAATCCATTCTCTTCTATTACATGTGAATCTGTTCCATCCCGTTCCATTCCGTTCGAGTCCATTCTATTTCTTTCCAATCGAGCCCATTCCACTCTATTCCATTCAAGTCCAATTCATTCCCTTTCATTCCATTCCATTCCATTCCATTGAATGCCTTTGCATTCCATTCAATTCCATTCATTTCGAGTCCATTCTATTCCATTGAATTCCATTCAATTCCATTCCTTTTGAGTCCATTCAATTCCATTCCATTCCGTTTCAGTCCATTCCATTCCATTCCTTTACCTTCCATACCATTCCATTCCATTCCATTCCATCCCAGTCCATTCCATTCCATTCCATTCTGTTCGAGTCGATTCCATTTGATTCCATGACAATACATTCGGGTCCATTCCATTCAACTCCATTCCATTTGATTCCACGCCATTACATTCTTTTCCATTCCAGTCCACTCCTCTGGATTCTATGCCATTCCACTCCATTCCATTCAAGTCCATTCCTTTCCATTCCTTTCTATTCAATTCGAATCCATTCCATTCCAATCCATTGGAGTCTGTTCCATTCCACCCCATTCCATTGCAGTACATTCTATTCCATTTCATTCCATTCCATTCCATTCCATTGGAGTCCAATCCATTCCATTCCAATTCATTCTGTTCCGTTCCATTCCATTCCATTCCATTCTAGTCCATTTCATTCCATTCCCTTCGAATCCATTCCATTCCATTCCATTCCATTCCATTCCATTCTATTTCATTCAAGTCCATTCTATTCCATTCCATTCCATTCCATTCCATTCTATTCCATGCAATTCAATGCCATTCGATTCCATTCCATTTCATTCCATTCCATTCCTTTCAATTCGCATAAATTACATTCCATTACCTTCCATTCCATTCGAGTACATTACATTCCGTTACATTCAATTCCTTTCGACTCCATTCATTTCCTTTCCATCTATTCGTTTCCCATGCACTCTATTCCATTCGAGTCCATTCCATTTCTCTCCATTCCATTTCTCTCCATTCCATTAGGGTCCATTCTCTTCTATTACATTTGAATCTGTTCCATCCTATTCCATTCCATTCGAGTCCATTTCATTCGAGTCCATTCCATTCCATTCTATACCACTTGGTTACATTCCATTCCTTTCCATTCGAGTCCATTCCATTCCAACACATTTCATTCGAGTCCATTGCATTCCATTCCATTCGAATCCATACCATTCCATTCGATTCGATTCCATTCCATTCCATTTGATTCCATTCCATTGCATTCCATTCCATGCCATTCAGGTCCAATCCATTCAATTCCATTCGAGTCAATTCCATTCCAATCCATTCGAGTCCATTCCATTGCTTTGCATTCCAATCCCTTCGAGTCGATTCAATTCCATTTCATTCCATTCACATCCATTCCATTCCATTCAGTTCGAGTCCATTCAATTTCATTCCATTCCATTTGAGTAAAGTCCATTTTATTCCATTCAAGTCCACAACATTACATTCCATTAGAGTCCATTTCATTCAATTCTGTTGTATTTCATTCGAGTCCATTCCATTCCATTTGAGTCCTTTCCATTCCACTTCATTCCATTCGTGACCATTCCATTCCATTCGAATAGGTTCCATTCCATTTCATTCCATTCTAGTCCATTGCATTCCCTTCCATTCCTTTCTGGTCCTATCCATTCCCTTCCATTTCTGTCCATTCCAAACCATTCCATTCCATTCCATTCCATTCCATCCGAGACCATTCGATTCCATTCCATTCCATTCGAGTCCAATTTATTCCACTACATTCCATACAAATCATGTCCCTTCAGTTCCATTCCATTTGAGTCTATTCCACTCCATTCCATTCGTGTCCATTCCGTTCCACACCATTCCATTGGAGTCCATCCCATTCTGTTCCATTCGTGTCCATTCCATTCAATTCCATTCAAGTCAATTCTATGCCATTCCATTCCAGTCCATTCCATTGCATTCCATAGCATTTGATTCCAATCCATTCCATTCCATTCGAGTCCATTCCATTCCACTCCATTAGATTCCATCCCATTGGGTCCATTCTATTAAATTCCATTCCCTTCCATTCAAGTCCATTCCATTCCATTTGAGACCATTCCATTCCATTCCCTTTGATTTCATACCATTCCATTCCATTCTATACCATTCAAGACAGTTCCATTCCATTTCATTCCATTCCATTACAGTCCATTCTATTCCTTTCCATTCCATTCCGTTTCATTCCATTCCTTTCCATTACCTTCCATTCCTTTCCAATACATTCCATTCTATTACATTTGAGTCCATTCCATTCCATTCCATTCGAGTGCATCCCATTCGATTCCATTAGAGTCCAATCCATTCTATTACATTTGAATCCATTCCATTCCTTTCAATTCATCCGAGTCCATTCCATTCCATTCGAGTCCATTCCATTCTATTACCTTTGGATCCGTTGCATTCCATTCCATTCCCTTCGAGTCCATTCCATTCGTGTATAGTCCTTTTTATTCCATTGGAGTCCACAACATTCCGTTACATTAGAGTCCATTCGATTAAATTCCGTTGTATTTCATTCGAGTCCTTTCCATTCCATTTCATTCCATCCGTGACCATTCCATTCCAGTCCATTCCTTTCGAATCCATTTCATTCCATTGTATTCCATTCCAATCGAGTCCATTCAATTCCATTCCAATCGAGTCCAATCACTCCATTCCATTCACATCCCCTCCATTC
Organism: Homo sapiens; assembly: GCF_000001405.40. NCBI lineage: Eukaryota > Metazoa > Chordata > Mammalia > Primates > Hominidae > Homo > Homo sapiens. The sequence continues at coordinate 182,694 of NW_021160000.1, read as the reverse complement.
CACACCATTCCTTTCGAGTCCTTTCCATTCTATTGCACTCAAGTCCATTCCATTCAATTTCATTCGAGTCAATTCCATTCCATTCCATTCGAGTCCATTCCATTTATTCCATGACATTACATTCGGGTCCATTCCATTCGAGTCTATGCCATTCCATTCCATTCTGTTCAAGTCTATTCCTTTCCATTCTTTCTATTCCATTCGAGTACATTCCATTCCATTCCATTCGAATCCGTTCCATTCCATTCAATTCCCTTTGAGGACAATCCATTCCATTCCATTCCATTCCTTTCAATTACATTCCATTCCATTCCAACTCATTCGGTTCTGGTCCATACCATTCTAGTCCATTTCTTAGAATCTATTCCATTCCAATCGAGATCACTCAATTCCATTCCATTTGAGTGCACTTCATTAGAATATCTTCCATTCCAATCGAGTCCATTCAATTCCATTCCATTCTAGTCCATTCCACTCCATTCCATATGAGTCCATTCCATTCGACAATTTCCACTGGAGTCCATTACATTCTATTACATTCTAGTCCATGCCATTCAATTATTTTCTACTCAATTGCATTCCATTCCATTTGAGTCCATTCAATTGCATTCCATTCCATTCGAGTCCATTCCATTCCATTCCATTCAAGTCCATTCAATTCCATTAGATTCCCTTCCATTAGAGTCCAAACTTTTACATTCCATCCCTTCCTTTCGAGTCCATTCCATTCCATTCGTGTCCATTCCATTCCCTTCTATTCCTATCCACTCCATTTCATTCTATTCCATTTTAAGTTCAGTCCATTACATTTCATTCCATTCCATTCCTTTCTATTCCCTTCTATTCTATTCCATTCCATTCCATTCCATTCCATTCCATTCCATTCCTTTCCATTCGAATAAATTTCATTCCATTGCCTTCCATTCCATTCGAGTACATTCCATTCTGTTACATTCCATTCCATGCGAGTCCATTCATTTCCATTCCTTTCTATTCGTTTCCATTGCACTCCATTCCATTCCAATCTATTCCATTCCACGCCAGTCTATGCGAGTCCATTCTCTTCTATTACATGTGAATCTGTTCCATCCCGTTCCATTCCATTCGAGTCCATTCTATTTATTTCCATTCGAGCCCATTCCACTCCATTCCATTCGAGTCCAATCCATCTCCTTCCATTCCATTCCATTCCATTGAATGCCTTTGCATTCCTTCAATTCCATTCCTTTCGAGTCCATTCCATTCCATTGAATTCCATTCAATTCCATTCCTTTTGAGTCCATTCAATTCCATTCCATTCCGTTTGAGTCCATTCCAATTCCATTCCTTTTCCTTCCATACCACTCCATTCCATTCCATTCCATCCCAGTCCATTCCATTCCATTCCATTCTGTTCGAGTCGATTCCATTTGATTCCTCATGACATACATTCGGGTCCATTCCATTCAACTCCATTCCATTTGATTCCATGCCGTTACATTCTTGTCCATTCCAGTCACTCCTTGGATTCTATGCCATTCCATTCCATTCCATTCAAGTCCATTCCTTTCTATTCAATTCGAATCCATTCCATTCCAATCCATTGGAGTCTGTTCCATTCCACTCCATTCCATTGCAGTACATTCTATTCCATTCCATTCCATTCCATTCCATTCCTTTCCATTCCATTCGAGTCCGTTCCATTCCATTCCAATTCATTCTGTTCCGTTCCATTCCATTCCATTCCATTCTAGTCCATTTCATTCCAATCCATTCCATTCCAGAAGAGTCCATTCAATTCCAATCCACTCGAGTCCATAACACTCCATTCCATTAAAGTCCATTCCATTCAACACCATTCCATTCGAGTCCATCACATTCTATTCCATTCGTGTCCATTCCTTTCAATTCCTTTCTAGTCAATTCCATTCCATTCCATTCCATTCGAGTCCATTCCATTCTGTTCCATTCCAATCGAGTCACATTCCATTCCATTCAATTCCATTCGATTCCATTCCTTAGATTCCATTCCATTAGGGTCCATTCTATTACATACAATTCATCCTTACCTTTCTAGTCCATTCCATTCCATTCGAGTCCATTTCATTCCATTCCCTTCTAATCCATTCCTTTCCATTCCATTTCCATTCCATTCCATTCTATTTCATTCAAGTCCATTCTATTCCATTTCATTCCATTCCATTCCAGTCGATTCCACTCCATTCCATTCCATTCCATTCCATTCTATTCCATGCCAATCAATGCCATTCGATTCCATTATCCATTTCATTCCATTCCATTCCTTTCCATTCGCATAAATTACATTCCAATACCTTCCATTCCATTCGAGTATATTCCATTCCGTTACATTCAATTCCATTCGAGTCCATTCATTGTCCATTCCATCTATTCCTTTCCAATGCACTCCATTCCATTCGAGTCCATTCCATTTCTCTCCATTCCATTAGATTCCATTCTCTTCTATTACATTTGAATCTGTTCCATTCCTATTCCATTCCATTCGAGTCCATTCCCATTCCATTTCATTCGAGTCCGTTCCATTCCATTCTATATCATTTGGTTACATTCCATTCCTTTCCATTCGAGTCCATTCCATTCCACCATTTCATTCGAGTCCATTGCATTCCATTCCATTCGAATCCATACCATTCCATTCGATTCGATTCCATTCCATTCCATTTGATTCCATTCCATTGCATTCCATTCCATGCCGTATCAGGTCCAATCCATTCAATTCCATTCGAAGTCAATTCCATTCCAATCCATTCGAGTCCATTCCATTGCTTTGCATTCCAATCCCTTCGAGTCGATTCAATTCTATTTCATTCCATTCGCATCCATTCCATTCCATTCAGTTCGAGTCCATTCAATTTCATTCCATTCCATTTGAGTAAAGTCCATTTATTTCTATTCAAGTCCACAATTTACATTCCATTAGAGTCCATTTCATTCAATTCTGTTGTATTTCATTCGAGTCCATTTCATTCCATTTGAGTCCTTTCCATTCCATTTCATTCCATTCGTGACCATTCCATTCCATTCCATTCGAATAGGTTCCATTCCATTTCATTCCATTCGAGTCCATTGCATTCCATTGCATTCCTTTCTGGTCTTATACATTCCCTTCCATTTCTGTCCATTCCAAACCATTCCATTCCATTTCATGCCATTCCATTCCATTCCATCCGAGACCATTCGATTCCATTCCATTCCATTCGAGTCCAATTTATTCCACCACATTCCATCAAATCATGTCCTTTCAGTTCCATTCCATTTGAGTCTATTCCACTCCATTCCATTCGTGTCCATTCCGTTCCACACCATTCCATTGGAGTCCACCTCATTCTGTTCCATTCGTGTCCATTCCATTCAATTCCATTCAAGTCAATTCTATTCCATTCCATTCCCGTCAATTCCATTGTATTCCATAGCATTTGATTCCAATCCATTCCATTACATTCGAGTCCATTCCATTCCATTCCATTAGATTCCATCCCATTGGGTCCATTCTATTCAATTCCATTCCCTTCCATTCGAGTCCATTCCATTCCATTCGAGACCATTCCATTCCATTCCCTTTGATTTCATACCATTCCTTTCCATTCTATTCCATTCAAGTCAGTTCCATTCCATTTCATTCCATTCCATTCCAGTCCATTCTATTCCTTTCCATTCCATTCCATTTGATTCCATTCCATTCCAATACCCTTCCATTCCATTCGAGTACATTCCATTCTATTACATTTGAATCCATTCCATTCCATTCCATTTCATTCGACTGCATCCCATTCGATTCCATTCGAGTCCACTCCATTCTATTACATTTGAATCCATTCCATTCCTTTCCATTCCATCCGATTCCATTCCATTCCATTCGAGTCCATTCCATTCTATCACCTTTAGATCCGTTCCATTCCATTCCATATTTATTCGAGTCCATTCCATTCGTGTTATAGTCCATTTTATTCCATTGGATCCACAACATTCCGTTACATTAGAGTCCATTCGATTAAATTCCGTTGTATTTCATTCGAGTCCTTTCCATTCCATTCCATTCCATCCGTGACCATTCCATTCCAGTCCAATCCTTTCGAATCCATTTCATTCCATTGTTTCCATTCCATTCCAATCGAGTCCATTCAATTCCATTCCATTCGAGTCCAATCCACTCCATTCCATTCAAATCCCTTCCATTCCACACCATTCCTTTCGAGTCCTTTCCATTCTATTCCACTCAAGCCATCCATTCCATTCAATTTCATTCGAGTCAATTCCATTCCATTCCTTTCGAGTCCATTCCATTTGATTCCGTGACATTACATTCGGGTCCTTTCCATTCGAGTCTATGCCATTCCATACCATTCTGTTCAAGTCTATTCCTTTCCTTTCTTCTATTCCATTCGAGTCCATTCCATTCCATTCCAGTCGAATCCGTTCCATTCCATTCAATTCCTTTTGAGGACATTCCATTCCATTCCATTCCATTCCATCCATTCCTTTCAATTTACATTCCGTTCCATTCCAACTCATTCGCTTCTGGTCCATTCCATTCCATTCCATTCTAGTCCATTTCTTAGAATCTATTCCATTCCAATCTAGATCACTCAATTCCATTCCATCCGAGTCCACTTCATTTGAATATCTTCCATTCCAATCGAGTCCATTCAATTCCATTCCATTCTAGTCCATTCCACTCCATTCCATATGAGTCCATTCCATTCGACAACTTTCCACTGGAGTCCATTACATTCTATTACATTCTAGTCCATGCCATTCAATTATTTTCTACTCAATTGCATTCCATTCCATTTGAGTGCATTCGATTGCATTCCATTCCATTCGAGTCCATTCCATTCCATTCCATTCAAGTCCATTCAATTCCATTAGATTCCCTTCCATTAGAGTCCATTCTATTACATTCCATCCCCTTCCTTTCGAGTCCATTCCATTCCATTCGTGTCCATTCCATTCCATTCCCTTCTAGTCCTTTCCATTCCATTCCATTCTATTCCATTTTAAGTCCAGTCCATTACATTTCATTCCATTCCATTCCATTCCTTTCTATTCCATTCTATTCTGTTCCATTCCATTCCATTCCATTCCATTCCATTCCATTCCATTCTATTCCATTCCTTTCCATTCGAATAAATTTCATTCCATTAACTTCTATTCCTTTCGAGTACATTCCATCTGTTACATTTCATTCCATGCGAGTCCATTCTTTCCATTCCTTTCTACGTTTCCATTGCAATCCATTCCATTCCAATCCATTCCATTCCACGCCAGTCCATGCGAGTCCATTCTCTTCTATTACATGTGAATCTGTTCCATCCCTTCCATTCCATTCGAATCCATTCCACTCCATTCCATTCGAGTCCAATCCATTCCCTTCCATTCCATTCCATTCCATTGAATGCCTTTGCATTCCATTCAATTCCATTCCTTTCGAGTCCATTCCATTCCATTGAATTCCATTCAATTCCATTCCTTTTGAGTCCATTGAATTCCATTCCATTCCGTTTCAGTCCATTCCATTCCATTCCTTTTACTTCCATACCATTCCATTCCATTCTATTCCATCCCAGTCCATTCCATTCCTTCCATTCTGTTCGAGTCGATTCCATTTGATTCCATGACATACATTCGGGTCATTCCATTCAACTCCATTCCATTTGATTCCACGCCGTTACATTTTGTCCATTCCAGTCCACTCCTTTGGATTCTATGCCATTCCATTCCATTCCATTCAAGTCCATTCCTTTCCATTCCTTTCTATTCAATTCGAATCCATTCCATTCCAATCCATTGGAGTCTGTTCCATTCCACTCCATTCCATTGCAGTACATTCTATTCCATTTCATTCCATTCCATTCCATTCCATTCCATTCGAGTCCGTTCCATTCCATTCCAGTTCATCTCTTCCGTTCCATTCCATTCCATTCCATTCTAGTCCATTTCATTCCAATCCATTCCATTCCAGAAGAGTCCATTCAATTCTAATCCATTCGAGTCCATAACACTCCATTCCATTAAAGTCCATTGCATTCAACACCATTCCATTCGAGACCATCACATTCTATTCCATTCGTGTCCATTCCTTTCAATTCCTTTCTAGTCAATTCCATTCCATTCCATTCCATTCGAGTCCATTCCATTGGTTTCCATTCCAATCGAGTCAATTCCATTCCATTCAATTCCATTCGATTCCATTCCATTAGATTCCATTCCATTAGGGTCCATTCTATTACAGTACATGCCCTTTCTTTCTAGTCCATTCCATTCCATTCGAGTCCATTTCATTCCATTCCCTTCGAATCCATTTCCTTTCCATTCCATTCCATTCCATTCTCTTTCATTCAAGTCCATTCTATTCCATTTCATTCCATTCCATTCCAATGGATTCCACTCCATTCCATTCCATTCCATTCTATTCCATACCATTCAATGCCATTCGATTCTATTCCATTTCATTCCATACCATTCCTTTCCATTCGCATAAATTACATTCCATTACCTTCCATTCCATTCGAGTACATTCCATTCCGTTACATTCAATCCATTCGAGTCCATTCATTCCATTGCCATCTATTTCTTTCTAATGCACTCCATTCCATTCGAGTCCATTCCATTTCTCTCCATTCCATTAGAGTCCATTCTCTTCTATTACATTTGAATCTGTTCATCCTATTCCATTCCATTCGAGTCCATTCCATTCCATTTCATTCGAGTCCATTCCATTCATTCTATACCATTTGGTTACATTCCATTCTTTCCATTCGAGTCCATTCCATTCCAACCCTTTCATTCGAGTCCATTGCATTCCATTCCATTCGAATCCATACCATTCCATTCGATTCGATTCCTTCCATTCCATTGATTCCATTCCATTGCATTCCATTCCATGCCATTCAGGTCCAATCCATTCAATCCATTCGAGTCAATTCCATTCCAATCCATTCGAGATCCATTGCTTTGCATTCCAATCCCTTCGAGTCGATTCAATTCCATTTCATTCCATTCGCACCATTCCATTCCATTCAGTTCGAGTCCATTCAATTCATTCCATTCCATTTGAGTAAAGTCCATTTTATTCCATTCAAGTCCACAACATTACATTCCATTAGAGTCCATTTCATTCAATTCTGTTGTATTTCATTCGAGTCCATTCCATTCCTTCCATTCCATTTGAGTCCTTTCCATTCCTTTCATTCCAGTCGTGACCATTCCATTCCATTCCATTCGAATAGGTTCCATTGCATTTCATTCCTTTCGAGTCCATTGCATTCCATTCCATTCCTTTCCTTTCAATTCCATTCCATTCCATTCCAACTCATACGGTTCTGGTCCATTCCATTCCATTCCATTCTAGTCCATTTCAGAATCTATTCCATTCCAATCTAGATCACTCAATTCCATTCCATTCGAGTCCACTTATAGAATATCTTCTCAATCGAGTCATTCAGTTCCATTCCATTCGAGTCCATTCCACTCTCCATATCAGTCCATTCCATTCGACACTTTCCCTGGAGTCCATTACATTCTATTACATTCTATTCCATGCATTAAATTATTTTCTACTCAATTTCATTCATTCCATTTGAGTCCATTCTATTGCATTCCATTTTATCGAGTCCATTCCATTCCATTCCATTCCATTCAAGTCCATTCAATTCCATTAGATTCCCTTCCATTAGAGTCCATTCTATTACATTCCATCCCTTCCTTTCGAGTCCATTCCATTCCAATCGTGTCCATTCCATTCCATTCCCTTCTAGTCCTTTCCATTCCATTCCATTCTTTCCATTTTAAGTCTTCCATTACCTTTCATTCCATTCCATTCCATTCCTTTCTATTCCATTCTATTCTATTCCATTCAATTCCTTCCATTCCATTCCATTCTATTCCATTTAAGTCCAGTCCATTACATTCATTCCATTCCATTCCATTCCTTTCTATTCCAATCTATTCTATTCCATTCAATTCCTCCATTCCATTCCATTCCAATCCATTCCATTCCATTCCATTCTATTCCATTCCTTTCCATTCGATAATTTCATTCCATTACATTCCATTCCATTCGAGTACATTCCATTCTGTTACATTCCATTCCATGCGAGTCCATTCATTTCATTCCTTTCTATTCGTTTCCATTGCACTCCATTCCATTCGAATCCATTCCATTGTGTTCCATTCCAATCGAGTCATTCCATTCCATTCAATTCCATTCGATTCCATTCCATTAGATTCCATTCCACTAGGGTCCATTGTATTACATTACATGCCCTTCCTTTCTAGTCCATTCCATTCCATTCGAGTCCATTTCATTCCATTCCCTTCGAATCCATTCCTTTCCATTCCATTCCATTCCATTCCATTCTATTCCATTCCATTCCATTCCATTCCATTCTATTTCATTCAAGTCCATTCATTCCACTTCATTCCTTCCATTCCAGTCGATTCCACTCCATTCCATTCCATTCCATTCTATTCCATGCCATTCAATGCCATTCGATTCCATTCCATTTCATTCCATTCCATTCCTTTCCATTCGCATAAATTAATTCCTTTACCTCCATTCCATTCGAGTACATTCCATTCCGTTACATTCAATTCCATTCGAGTCCATTCATTTCCATTCCATGTATTTTTCCAATGCACTCCATTCCATTCGAGTCCATTCCATTTCTCTCCATTCAATTAGAGTCCATTCTCTTCTATTACATTTGAATCTGTTCCATCCTATTCCATTCCATTCGAGTCCATTCCATTCCATTTCATTCGAGTCCATTCCATTCCATTCTATACCATTTGGTTACATTCCATTCCTTTCCATTCGAGTCCATTCCATTCCAACTCATTTCATTCGTGTCCATTGCATTCCATTCCATTCGAATCATACCATTCCATTCGATTCGATTCCATTCCATTCCATTTGATTCCATTCCATTGCATTCCATTCCATGCCATTCAGGTCCAATCCATTCAATTCCATTCGAGTCAATTCCATTCCAATCATTCGAGTCCATTCCATTGCTTTGCATTCCAATCCCTTCGAGTCGATTCAATTCCCTTTCATTCCATTCGCATCATTCCATTCCATTCAGTTCGGTCCATTCAATTTCATTCCATTCCATTTGAGTAAAGTCCATTTTATTCCATTCAAGTCCACAACATTACATTCCATTAGAGTCCATTTCATTCAATTCTGTTGTATTTCATTCGAGTCCATTCCATTCCATTCCATTTGAGTCTTTCCATTCCATTTCATTCCATTCGTGACCACTCCTTCCATTCCATTCAAATAGTTCCATTTCATTTCATTCCATTCGAGTCCATTGCACTCCATTCCATTCCTTTCTGGTCCTATCCATTCCCTTCCTTCTGTCCATTCCAAAACAGTCCATTCCATTCCATTCCATTCGAGACCATTCGTTACATTCCATTCCATTCGAGTCCAATTTATTCCACTACATTCCATACAAATCATGTCCCTTCAGTTCCATTCATGAGTCTATTCCACTCCATTCCTTTCGTGTCCATTCCGTTCCACACCACCATTGGAGTCCATCCCATTCTGTTCCATTCGTGTCCATTCCATTCAATTCCATTCAAGTCAATTCTATTCCATTCCATTCCAGTCCATTCCATTGCATTCCATAGCATTTGATTCCAATCCATTCCATTCCATTCGAGTCCATCCATTCCATTCCTTAATTCCATCCCATTGGGTTCATTCTATTAAATTCCATTCCCTTCCATTCGAGTCCATTCCATTCCACTCGAGACCATTCATTCCATTCTCTTTGATTTCATACCATTCCATTCCATTCTATTCCATTCAACAGTTCCATTCCATTTCATTCCATTCCATTGCTGTCCATTTTTTCCTTTCCATTCCATTCCATTTGATTCCATTCCATTCCATTACCTTCCATTCCATTCGAGTACATTCCATTCTATTACATGTGAATCCATTCATTCATTCCATTTCATTCGACTGCATCCCATTCGATTCCATTCGAGTCCAATCCATTCTATTACATTTGAATCCATTCCATTCCTTTCTCATTCCTCGAGTCCATTCCATTCCATTCGAGTCCATTCCATTCTATGCCTTTGGATCCGTTCCGTTCCATTCCATTCCATTCGAGTCCATTCCATTCGTGTTAGTCCATTTTATTCCACTGGAGTCCACAACATTCCATTACATTAGAGTCCATTCGATTAAATTCCGTTGTATTTCATTCGAGTCCTTTCCATTCCATTCCATTCCATCCGTGAACATTCCATTCCAGTCCATTGCTTTCGAATCCATTTCATTCCATTGTATTCCATTCCAATCGAGTCCATTCAATTCCATTCCATTCGAGTCCAATCACTCCATTCCTTCGAATCCCTTCCTTTCCACACCCTTCCTTCGAGTCCTTTCCATTCATTCCATTCAAGTCCATTCCATTCAATTTCATTCGAGTCAATTCCATTCCATTCCATTCGAGTCCATTCCATTTGATTCCATGACATTACATTCGGGTCCATTCCATTCGAGTCTTATGCCATTCCATTCCATTTTTTTCAAGTCTATTCCTTTCCATTCTTTCTATTTCATTCGAGTCCATTCCATTCCATTCCCTTCGAATCCGTTCCATTCTATTCAATTCCTTTTGGGACATTCCATCCTTCATTCCTTCCTTCCTTTCAATTACATTCCATTCCATTCCATTCCACTCTTTCGTTCTGGTCCATTCCATTCATTCCATTCTATCCATTTCTTAGAATCTATTCCATTCCAATCGAGATCACTCAATTCCATTCCATTCGGTCCACTTCATTGAATATCTTCCTTCCAATCGAGTCCATTCAATTCCATTCCATTCTAGTCCATTCCACTCCATTCCATATGAGTCCATTCCATTCGACAACTTTCCCTGGAGTCCATTACATTCTATTACATTCTAGTCCATGCCATTCAGTTATTTTCTATTCAATTGCATTCCATTCCATTTGAGTCCATTCGATTGCTTCCATTCCATTCGAGTCCATTCCATTCCATTCCATTCAAGTCCATTCAATTCATTAGATTCCTTCATTACAGTCTTCTATTACATTCCATCCCCTTCCTTTCGAGTCCATCCATTCCATTGTGTCCATTCCATTCCATTCCCTTCTAGTCCTTTCCATTCCATTCTTCTATTCCATTTTAAGTCCAGTCATTACTTTCATTCCATTCCATTCCATCCTTCTATTCCATTCTATTATATTCCATTCATTCCATTCCATTCCATTCTATTCCATTTTAAGTCCAGTCCATTACATTGATTCCATTCCATTCCATTCCTTTCTATTCCAATCTATTCTATTCTTCTATCCAATCCATTCCATTCCATTCCATTCCATTCTATTCCATTCCTTTCCATTCGAATAAATTTCATTCCATTACCTTCCATTCCATTCGAGTAATTCCATTCTTTACATTCATCCATGCGAATCCATTCATTTCCTTCCTTTCTATTCGTTTCCATTGCACTCCTTCCATTCGAATCCTTTCCATTCCACGCAGTCCATGCGAGTCCATTCTCTTCTATTACATGTGAATCTGTTCCATCCCGTTCCATTCCATTCGAGTCCATTCTTTAATTCCATTCGAGCCCATTCCACTCCATTCCATTTGAGTCCAATCCATTCCCTTCCATTCCATTCCTTCCATTGAATGCCTTTGCATTCCTCAATTCCATTCCTTTCGAGTCCGCTCCATTCCATTGAATTCCATTATTTCCATTCCTTTTGAGTCCATTCAACTCCATTTCATTCCGTTTGAGTCCATTCCATTCCATTCCTTTCCTTCCATACCATTCCATTCCATTCCATCCCAGTCCATTCCATTCCATTCCATTCTGTTCGAGTCGATTCCATTTGATTCCATGACATACATTCGGTTCCATTCCATTCAACTCCATTCCATTTGATTCCACGCCATTACATTCTTGTCCATTCCAGTCCACTCCTTTGGATTCTATGCCATTCCATTCCATTCCATTAAGTCCATTCTTTCCATTCCTTTCTATTCAATTCGAAACCATTCCATTCCAATCCATTGAAGTCTGTTCCATTCCACTCCATTCCATTGCAGTACATTCTATTCCATTTCATTCCATTCCATTCCATTCCATTCCATCTTTCGAGTCCGTTCCATTCCATTCCAATTCATTCTGTTCCGTTCCATTCCATTTCATTCCATTCTAGTCCATTTCATTCCAATCCATTCCATTCCAGAAGAGTCCATTCAATTCCAATCCATTCGAGTCCATAACACTCCATTCCATTAAAGTGCATTCCATTCAACACCATTCCATTTGAGTCCATCACATTCTATTCCATTCGTGTCCATTCCTATCAATTCCTTTCTAGTCAATTCCATTCCATTCCATTCCATTCGAGTCCTTTCCATTGTGTTCCATTCCAATGGAGTCAATTCCATTCCATTCAATTCCATTCGATTCCATTCCATTAGATTCCATTCCACTAGGCTACATTCTATTACATTACATGCCCTTCCTTTCTAGTCCATTCCATTCCATTCGAGTCCATTTCATTCCATTCCCTTCGAATCCATTTCCTTTCCATTCCATTCCATTCCATTCCATTCTATTTCATTCAAGTCCATTCTATTCCATATCATTCCATTCCATTCCAGTCGATTCCACTCCATTCCACTCTATTCCATTCTATTCCATGCCATTCAATGCCATTCGATTCCATTCCATTTCATTCCATTCCATTCCTTTCATTCGCATAAATTACATTCCATTACCTTCCATTCCATTCGAGTACATTCCATTCCGTTACATTCAATTCCATTCGAGTCCATTCATTTCCATTCCGTGTATTCTTTTCCAATGCACTCCATTCCATTCGAGTCCATTCCATTTCTCTCCATTCAATTAGAGTCCATTCTCTTCTATTACATTTGAATCTGTTCCATCCTATTCCATTCCATTCGAGTCCATTCCATTCCATTTCATTCGAGTCCATTCCATTCCATTCTATACCATTTGGTTACATTCCATTCCTTTCCATTCGAGTCCATTCCATTCCAACCCATTTCATTCGAGTCCATTGCATTCCATTCCATTCGAATCCATACCATTCCATTCGATTCGATTCCATTCCATTCCATTGATTCCATTCCATTGCATTCCATTCCATGCCATTCAGGTCCAATCCATTCAATTCCATTCGAGTCAATTCCATTCCAATCCATTCGAGTCCATTCCATTGCTTTGCATTCCAATCCCTTCGAGTCGATTCAATTCCATTTCATTCCATTCGCATCCATTCCATTCCATTCAGTTCGAGTCCATTCAATTTCATTCCATTCCATTTGAGTAAAGTCCATGTTATTCCATTCAAGTCCACAACATTACATTCCATTAGAGTCCATTTCATTCAATTCTGTTGTATTTCATTCGAGTCCATTCCATTCCATTCCATTCCATTTGAGTCCTTTCCATTCCATTTCATTCCATTCGTGACCATTCCATTCCATTCCATTAGAATAGGTTCCATTCCATTTCATTCCATTCGAGTCCGTTGCATTCCATTCCATTCCTTTCTGGTCCTATCCATTCCCTTCCATTTCTGTCCATTCCAAACCATTCCATTCCATTCCATCCGAGACCATTCGATTCCATTCCATTCCATTCCAGTCCAATTTATTCCACTACATTCCATACAAATCATGTCCCTTCGTTCCATTCCATTTGAGTCTATTCCACTCCATTCCATTCGTGTCCATTCCGTTCCACACCATTCCATCGGAGTCCATCCCATTCTGTTCCATTCGTGTCCATTCCATTCAATTCCATTCAAGTCAATTCTATTCCATTCCATTCCAGTCCATTCCATTGCATTCCATAGCATTTGATTCCAATCCATTCCATTCCATTCGAGTCCATTGCATTCCATTCCATTAGATTCCATCCCATTGGGTCCATTCTATTAAATTCCATTCCCTTCCATTCGAGTCCATTCCATTCCATTCGAGACCATTCCATTCCATTCCCTTTGATTTCATACCATTCCATTGCATTCTATTCCATTCAAGTCAGTTCCATTCCATTTCATTCCATTCCATTCCAGTCCATTCTATTCCTTTCCATTCCATTCCATTTGATTCCATTCCATTCCATTCGAGTACATTCCATTCTATTACATTTGAATCTATTCCATTCCATTCCATTTCATTCGAGTGCATCCCATTCGATTCCATTCGAGTCCAATCCATTCTATTACATTTGAATCCATTCCATTCCTTTCCATTCCATCCGAGTCCATTCCATTCCATTCGAGTCCATTCCATTCTATGACCTTTGGATCCGTTCCATTCCATTCCATTCCATTCCATTCGAGTCCATTCCATTCGTGTATAGTCCATTTTATTCCATTGGCGTCCACAACATTCCGTTACATTAGAGTCCATTCGATTAAATTCCGTTGTATTTCATTCGAGTCCTTTCCATTCCATCCGTGACCATTCCATTCCAGTCCATTCCTTTCGAATCCATTTCATTCCATTGTATTCCATTCCAATCGAGTCCATTCAATTCCATTCCATTCGAGTCCAATCCACTCCATTCCATTCGAATACCTTGCATTCCACACCATTCCTTTCGAGTCCTTTCCATTCTATTCCACTCAAGTCCATTCCATTCAATTTCATTCGAGTCAGTTCCATTCCATTCCATTCGAGTCCATTCCATTTGATTCCATGACATTACATTCGGATCCATTCCTTTCGAGTCTATGCCATTCCATTCCATTCTGTTCAAGTCTATTCCTTTCCATTCTTTCTATTCCATTCGAGTCCATTCCATTCCATTCCATTCGAATCCGTTCCATTCCATTCAATTCCTTTTGAGGACATTCCATTCCATTCCATTCCTTTCCATTCCATTCCATTCCATTCCATTCCATTCCTTTCAATTACATTCCATTCCATTCCAACTCTTTCGGTTCTGGTCCATTCCATTCCATTCCATTCTAGTCCATTTCTTAGAATCTATTCCATTCCAATCGAGATCACTCAATTCCATTCCATTCGAGTCCACTTCATTAGAATATCTTCCATTCCAATCGCGTCCATTCAATTCCATTCCATTCTAGTCCATTCCACTCCATTCCATATGAGTCCTTTCCATTCGACAACTTTCCACTGGAGTCCATTACATTCTATTACATTCTAGTCCATGCCATTCAATTATTTTCTACTCAATTGCATTCCATTCCATTTGAGTCCATTCGATTGCATTCCATTCCATTCGAGTCCATTCCATTCCATTCCATCCAAGTCCATTCAATTCCATTAGATTCCCTTCCACTAGAGTCCATTCTATTACATTCCATCCCCTTCCTTTCGAGTCCATTCCATTCCATTCGTGTCCTTCATTCCATTCCTTCTAGTCCTTTCCATTCCATTCCATTCTATTCCATTTTAAGTCCAGTCCATTACATTTCATGCCATTCCATTCCATTCCTTTCTATTCCATTCTATTCTGTTCCATTCCATTCCATTCCATTCCATTCCATTCTATTCCACTCCTTTCCATTCGAATAAATTTCATTCCATTACCTTCCATTCCATTCGAGTACATTCCATTCTGTTACATTCCATTCCATGCGAGTCCATTCATTTCCATTCCTTTCTATTCGTTTCCATTGCACTCCAATCCATTCCAATCCATTCCATTCCACGCCAGTCCATGCGAGTCATTGTCTTCTATTACATGTGAACCTGTTCCATCCCGTTCCATTCCATTCGAGTCCATTCTATTTCTTTCCTTCGAGCCCATTCCACTCCATTCCATTCGAGTCCAATCCATTCCCTTCCATTCCATTCCATTCCATTCCATTGAATGCCTTTGCATTCCATTAATTCCATTCCTTTCGAGTCCTTCCATTCCATTGAATTCCATTCAATTCCATTCCTTTTGAGTCCATTCAATTCCATTCCATTCCGTTTGAGTCCATTCCATTCCATTCCTTTTCCTTCCATACCATTCCATTCCATTCCATTCCATTCCATTCCATTCCATCCCAGTCCATTCCATTCCATTCCATTCCATTCTGTTTGTGTCGATTCCATTTGATTCCATGACATACATTCGGGTCCATTCCATTCAACTCCATTCCATTTGTTTCCACGCCATTACATTCTTTTCCATTCCAGTCCACTCCTTTGGATTCTATGCCTTTCCATTCCATTCCATTCAAGTCCATTCCTTTCCATTCCTTTCTATTCAATTCGAATCCATTCCATTCCAATCCATTGGAGTCTGTTCCATTCCACTCCATTCCATTGCAGTCCGTTCTATTCCATTTCATTCCATTCCATTCCATTCCATTCCATTCGAGTCCGTTCCATTCCATTCCAATTCATTCTGTTCGGTTCCATTCCATTCCATTCCATTCTAGTCCATTTCATTCCAATCCATTCCATTCCAGAAGAATCCATTCAATTCCAATCCATTCGAGTCCTTAACACTCCATTCCATTAAAGTCCATTCCATTCAACACCATTCCATTCGAGTCCATCACATTCTATTCCATTCGTGTCCATTCCTTTCAATTCCTTTCTAGTCCATTCCAATCCATTCCATTACATTCGAGTCCATTCCATTGTGTTCCATTCCAATCGAGTCAATTCCATTCCATTCAATTCCATTCGATTCCATTCCATTAGATTCCATTCCATTAGGGTCCTTTCTATTACATTACATGCCCTTCCTTTCTAGTCCATTCCATTCCATTCGAGTCCATTTCATTCCATTCCCTTCGAATCCATTCCTTTCCATTCCATTCCATTCCACTCCATTCCATTCCATTCTATTTCATTCAAGTCCATTCTATTCCATTTCATTCCATTCCATTCCAGTCGATTCCACTCCATTCCATTCCATTCCATTCTATTCCATGCCATTCAATGCCATTCGATTCCATTCCATTTCATTCCATTCCATTCCTTTCCATTCGCATAAATTACATTCCATTACCTTCCATTCCATTCGAGTACATTCCATTCCGTTACATTCAATTCCATTCGAGTCCATTCATTTCCATTCCATCTATTCGTTTCCAATGCACTCCATTCCATTCGAGTCCATTCCATTTCTCTCCATTCCATTACAGTCCATTCTCTTCTATTACATTTGAATCTGTTCCATCCTATTCCATTCCATTCGAGTCCATTCCATTCCATTTCATTCGAGTCCATTCCATTCCATTCTATACCATTTGGTTACATTCCATTCCTTTCCATTCGAGTCCATTCCATTCCAACCCATTTCATTCGAGTCCATTGCATTCCATTCCATTCGAATCCATTTCATTCGAGTCCATTGCATTCCATTCCATTCGAATCCATACCATTCCATTCGATTCGATTCCATTCCATTCCATTTGATTCCATTCCATTGCATTCCATTCCATGCCATTCAGGTCCAATCCATTCAATTCCATTCGAGTCAATTCCATTGCAATCCATTCGAGTCCATTCCATTGCTTTGCATTCCAATCCCTTCGAGTCGATTCAATTCCATTTCATTCCATTCGCATCCATTCCATTCCATTCAGTTCGAGTCCATTCAATTTCATTCCATTCTATTTGAGTAAAGTCCATCTTATTCCATTCAAGTCCACAACATTTCATTCCATTAGAGTCCATTTCTTTCAATTCTGTTGTATTTCATTCGAGTCCATTCCATTCCATTCCATTCCATTCCATTTGAGTCCTTTCCATTCCATTTCATTCCATTCGTGAGCATTCCATTCCATTCCATTTAAATAGGTTCCATTCCATTTCATTCCATTCGAGTCCATTGCATTCCATTGCATTCCTTTCTGTTCCTATCCATTCCCTTCCATTTCTGTCCATTCCAAACCATTCCATTCCATTCCATTCCATTCCATTCCATCCGAGACCATTCGATTCCATTCCATTCCATTCGAGTCCAATTTACTCCACTACATTCCATACAAATCATGTCATTTCAGTTCCATTCCATTTGAGTCTATTCCACTCCATTTCATTCGTGTCCATTCCGTTCCACACCATTCCATTGGAGTCCATCCCATTCTGTTCCATTCGTGTCCATTCCATTCAATTCCATTCAAGTCAATTCTATTCCATTCCTTTCCAGTCCATTCCATTGCATTCCATAGCATTTGATTCCAATCCATTCCATTCCATTCGAGTCCATTCCATTCCATTCCTTTAGATTCCATCCCATTGGGTCCATTCTATTAAATTCCATTCCCTTCCATTCGAGTCCATTCCATTCCATTCGAGACCATTCCATTCCATTCCCTTTGATTTCATACCATTCCATTGCATTCTATTCCATTCAAGTCAGTTCCATTCCATTTCATTCCATTCCATTCCAGTCCATTCTATTCCTTTCCATTCCATTCCATTTGATTCCATTCCATTCCATTACCTTCCATTCCATTCGAGTACATTCCATTCTATTACATTGGAATCCATTCCATTCCATTCCATTTCATTCGACTGCATCCCATTCGATTTCATTCGAGTCCAATCCATTCTATTACATTTGAATCCATTCCATTCCTTTCCATTCCATCCGAGTCCATTCCATTCCATTCGAGTCCATTCCATTCTATGACCTTTGGATCCGTTCCATTCCATTCCATTCGAGTCCATTCCATTCCATTCGAGTCCATTCCATTCGTGTATAGTCCATTTTATTCCATTGGAGCCCGCAACATTCCGTTACATTAGAGTCCATTCGATTAAATTTCGTTGTATTTCATTCGAGTCCTTTCCATTTCATTCCATTCCATCCGTGACCATTCCATTCCAGTCCATTCCTTTCAAATCCATTTCATTCCAATGTATTCCATTCCAATCGTGTCCATTCAATTCCATTCCATTCGAGTCCAATCCACTCCATTCCATTCGAATCCCTTCCATTCCACACCATTCCTTTCGAGTCCTTTCCATTCTATTGCACTCAAGTCCATTCCATTCAATTTCATTCGAGTCAATTCCATTCCATTCCATTCGAGTCCATTCCATTGCATTGCATTCCTTGGGAGTCCATTCCATTCCATTCCATTCGAGTCCATTTCATTCCATTCCATTAGATTCCATGCCATTAGACTCCATTCTGTTAAATTCCATTCCTTTCCTTTCGATTCCATTCCATTCCTTTTCCTTCGAGTCCATTCCATTCCAATCCATTCTATTCCATTCAAATCCATTCCATTCCGTTTCACTCCATTGCATTCCATTCCGTTGAATTCCATTCGAATCTATTCCATTCCATTCCACTCCATTCCATTCTATTCGAGTAAATTTCATGCCATTACCTTCCATTCCATTCGAGTACTTTCTATTCCGTTACAATCCATTCCATTCGACTCCAATCATTTCCATTCCATTCTATTCATTTCAATTGCACTCCATTCCATTCGAGTCCATTCCATTCCACTCCATTCCATTCAAGTCCATTCCATTCTATTACATTTGAATCCGTTCTATTCCATTCCATTCCATTTGAGTCCTTTCAATCCCATTTCATTCGAGTCTATTCCATTCCATTCTGTACCATTTGATTTCGTGCCATTCCGTTCCATGCGAGTCCATTCCATTCCAACCCATTCCATTCGAGTCCATTCCATTCCATTCCATTCGAATCCATTCCATTGCATTCCATTCCCTTCGATTCCATTCCTTTCCATTCCATTCGAGTCCATTCCATTCCATTCCAATGTCCATTTCTTTCAATTCCATTCGAGTCAATTCCACTCCATTCCATTCGAGTCCATTGCATTGCATTGCATTCCAATCCTTTTGAGATCATTCAATTCCATTTCATTCCATTCAAATCCATTCCATTTCATTCCATTCGAGTTCATTCCATTGCATTCCCTTCCATTCGTGTCCAGTCCATTTTATTCCATTCAAGTCCACAACATTCAATTCTATTATAGACCATTCCATTAAATTCCGTTGTGTTTCATTCGAGTCCTTTCCATTCCATTCCATTCAAATCCATTCCATTGCATTCCATTCCCTTCAGTTCCATTCCTTTCCATTCCATTCGAGTCCATTCCATTCCATTCCATTCTATTCGGGTCCATTCAATTCCATTCCACTTGAGTGTATTCCACTTCATTCCATTCAATTTCATTCCATTCCATTCCATTTCATTCCATGCCATTCCATTCCATTCCATTCCATTCCTTTTCATTCCATTCCATTCGGTCCAAGACCATTCCATTCCATTCCATTCGAGTCCATTTCATTCCATTCCATTCCATTCAAATAGAGTCTATTCAATTTCATTTCATTCGAGTCCATTCCACTCCATTCCACTCGATTCCATTCCATTCCACACCATTCCATTCGAGTCCATCCCATTCTATTCCATTCAAGTCCATTACATTCAATTCCAATCGAGTCAATTCCATTCCATTCCATTCGAGTCCATTCCTTTTCATTCCATTCTCTTCGAGTCTATTCCATTTGATTCCATTCGAGTCCATTCCATTTGATTCCATTCGAGTCCATTCCTTTCCGTTCCATTTGATTCCATTCCATTAGAGTCCATTCCATTAAATTCCATTCCATTCCATTTGAGTGCATTCCATTCCATTCGAGTGCATTCCATTCCATTCTATTCCATTCAAGTTCATTCCATTTCATTTCATTCCTTTCCATTCCAGTCTACTTGAGTCCATTCCATTGCATTCAATTCCATTCCATTCGAGTGCAGTGCATTTCATTCCATTCTAGTCCATTCCATTCCATTCCATTCCTTTCAAGACCATTGAAATCCATTCCATTCCATTCGAGTCCAATACTTTTGAGTCCATTCCATTGTAGTCCATTCCATTGGATTCCATTCCATTCTATTCCATTCCATTCTATTCCATTCGAGTCCCTTCCATTAAATTCCATTGGAGTCCATTCCATTAAATTCCACTGTATTCCATTCGAGTCAATTCTATTCCATTCCATTCCATTCGAGTCCATTCCAATCCACAAGATTCCATTCCATTCCATTAATTTCGATTTCTTTTCATTCCATTCCATTCTTTTCCAATCAAGTCCATTCCATTCCATTTCATTCCATTCCATTCCATTCCACTCCTTTCCATTCATTTCCATTCCAACCTATTCCATTCGAGTCCATTCCATTCCATTTCATTCCATTCGATTCCAGTCCATTCCATTCCCTTCCATTCCACTTGGGTCCATTCCATTCCATTCCATTCGAGTCCATTCCATTCCACTTGAATCGTTTCCATTCCAATCCTTGAAATTCAGGTCCATTGCTTTCCATTCCATTCCATTCTATTCCATTCAAGCCCATTCTATTCCATACCATTCCATTTCATTTCATTCCATTTCATTCCATTCCATTCCATTCCTTTCCTTTCCATTGCATTCCATTCCATTCCATACCTTTCCATTCCATTCAATTTTATTCCATTCCATTACATTCCTTTCCTTTCCATTCAGGTCCATTCTATTCCATTCTATTCGAGTCCATTCCATTCCATTCCATTCCTTTCCATTCCACTCCATTCGAGTGCATTCCATTCCATTCCTTTCTGTTCCATTCGGGTCCGTTCCATTCCATTACATTCCATTCCATTACACTCGACTCATTTCCATTCCATCTGAGTCCATTGCATTCCTTTCGTTTCAATTCCATTCCATTCCATTCGAGTCTATTCCATTCCATTCTCTTCCATTCCATTCCTTTCAAGTACTTTCCATTCCATTCCATTCGAGTCCATTCCATTCCATTCCTTTGTATTCCATTCTAGTCTATTCCATTTCGTTCCATTCCACTAGAGTGGATTCCATTCCATTCCATTCATTTTGAGTCTATTCCTTTCCGTTTTAGTCTACTCCTTTCCATACAATTCGAGTCCATTCCATTCCCTTCTATTGCAGTTCATTCAATTCCATCGCATTCCATACGAATCCATTCCATTCCATTCCACTCGAGTGCATTGCATTCCATTCTATTCAATTCCATTTGATCCCATTCCATTCCATTCCATTCCGTTTGAGTCCATTCCATTCCATTCGAGTCCATTCCATTCTAAACCATTCGAGTCCGTTCCTTTCCACTCCATTCCATTAGATTTCATTCCATTCTATTCCATTTGCTTTCATTCCATTTCATTCCATTCCATTCCATTCCATTCGGGTCCGTTGCATTCCATTCCATTCGAGTCCATTCCATTGCGTTCCATTCAAGAACATTCCATTCCATTCGAGTTCATCCATTTCATTCGACTTGATACCATTCCATTCCATTCCATTCCCTTCCCTTCTATCCCCTTCCATTCGAGTCTATTCCATTCCATTGCATTCAATTCCATTCCTTTGCATTCCATTCCATTCGAGTCCAGTCCATTGCGTTCCATTCGAGTCCATTCCATTGCATTCCATTACTTTCCTTTCGAGATCATTCAATTCCATTCCATTCCTTTCGAGTCAATTCCATTCGAGTCCAACCCATTACATTCCATACCATTGGCCTCCATTCCATTCTATTCCATTGGTGTCCATTCCATTACATTCCACTAGGGTCCATTCCATTAAATTCCATTGTACTCCATTCGATTCCTTTCTTTTCCATTCCATACCATTCGTGCTCCTTCCATGCCACCCGAGTCCATTCCATTCCATTACTTTTGAGTCCATTCCACTCCATTCAATTGTTTACCAATCAAGTCCATTCCATTCCGTTCAAGTCCATTCCATTCCATTCCATTCTAGTCCATTCCATTCCACTGCATTACATTCCAGTCCATTCCATTCTATTCCATTCGAGTCCATTCCACTCCATTCCATTCTGTTTGTGTCCACTCCATTCCCTTCGATTCCTTTCCATTCCATTTCATTCGAATCCATTCCATTCCATGCTATTCCATTTGAGTCCATTCCATTCCATTCGAGTCATTTCCATTCAAAGCCATTCCATTCCAGTCCATTCCATTCCATTCCAATCATTCTATTCCATTCCATTCGTCTCCATTCCATACCACTCCATTCCATTCGAGCCCATTCCATTCCTTTCCTTTCCAGTCCATTCGTGCCCAATCCATTGAATTCCATTCGAATCAATTCTAATCCATTCCATATGAGTCCATTCCGTTGCATTCCATTCGATTTGAGTACATTGCATTCCATCCCCATTGAGTCCATTCCATTGCATTCCATTGTATTCGACTCAAGTCCATTCCATTCCATACCATTCCATTCGGGTCCATTGAATTCCATTCCATTCGAGTCCATTCCGTTCAATTCCATCCCATTCCATTCCTTTCCATTCCATTCCATTCCACTTCATTCCATTCCAATCCATTCCACTCCATTCCATTCGAGTCCTTTCCATTCCATTCCATTCCGTTCCATTCCCTTCTGTTCAAGTCCACTCATTTCTATTGCATTGGAGACAATTCCTTTCCATTACATTCGTGTGCATTCCATTCCATTCAATTCCATTCGAGTCCATTCCACTCTATTCCATTCGTGTGCATTCCATTCCATTCCATTAGAGTCCATTCCAGTAAATTGCATTGTATTCCATTAGAGTCCATTCCATTCCATTCCGTTTGTGTCCATTCCATTCCATTCGAGTCCATTCCTTTCCATTCCTTTCGAGTCCATTCCATTCCATTCCATTCCATTCGAGTCCATTCCGTTCCATTCCATTCCATTCCATTGCATTCCATTCTATTCCATTCGACTCATTTCCATTCCTTTGGATTTCATTCCTTTAAGATCCATTCCATTCTATTCCGTTCGGGTCCATTCCATTCTATTCCATTCAAGTCCATTCCATTCCGTTAAATTACATTCGTTTCCATTCCATTCTATTCCATTCCACTCGCGTCATTGCAATTATATTCCATTCCTTTCGAGTCCATTCCATTCCATGCAATTCCATTCCATTCCATTATATTCGAGACCACACCTTTCCGTTCCTTTCCATTCCTATCGAGTCCATTCCATTCCATTCAAGTCCATTCCATTCCACTCCATTCCATTCCATTCGAGTCCATTCCACTTCATGCCATTCCATTCGAGTCCATTCCATTCCATTCCATTCCATTCAGGTGCATTCCATTCTATTCCCCTTGAGTCAATTCCATTCCATTCCATTCGAGTCGATTCCACTGCATTCCATTCCATTCCCTTCTACACCATTCAATTCCATTCCATTGCATTCGAATACATTCCATTCCGTTACATTTGAGTCCATTCCATTCCATTTCATTCGAGTCCATTCCATTCTGTTCAGTTTGAGTCCATTCCATTCCATTCCATTAGATTCCATTCCATTAGAGTCCGTTCAATGAAATTCCATTCCATTCCAT
Source organism: Homo sapiens (assembly GCF_000001405.40). Taxonomy (NCBI): domain Eukaryota; kingdom Metazoa; phylum Chordata; class Mammalia; order Primates; family Hominidae; genus Homo; species Homo sapiens. Next base: position 158,274 of record NW_021160000.1, on the reverse strand, counting down.
TCGAGTCCATTCAATTCCATTCGAGTCCATTCCATTTCATTCCCATCGAGTCCTTTCCGATCCATTCCTTTCTCTTCCATTCAAGTCCATTGCATTCCATTCCATTCCATTCCCTTCCAGGACCTTCCATTCCATTCCAATTTGTTACATTTCATTGCCTTTCACTCAAGTGCATTCCATTCTTTTCGAGTCCCTTCCATGCCATTCCATTCGAGTCCATTCCATTCCACTCCATTCCTTTTGATTCCATTCCATTCTATTCCATTCGTGTCCATTCCATTCCATTCCATTCGAGTCCATTCCATTCCATCCATTCTATTCCATTCATGTCCATTCCACTCCATTTCATTCCATTCCATTCCAGTCCATTCCATTCCATTCCAATCCATTCCATTCCATTACATTACATTCGGGTCCATTCTTTTCCACTCCATTCGAGTCCATTCCATTGCATTAGTGTCCATTTCATTCGAGTCCATTCCATTCCAATCCATTCCATTTGATTCCATTCCATTCTTTTTCATTCATGTCCATTCCGTTACATTCCATTCTAGCACACTACATTCCATTCCATTCAATTCCATTTGAGTCTAATCCATTCCATTCTATTCCATTCCATTCGAGTCCATTCCATTCCATTCAAGTACATTCCATTTCATTCCATTCCAATCCATTCCGTTCCATTTGATACCATTTGAGTCCATTCCATTCCTTTCGATTCCATTCCATTCCAACCCATTTCATTCGAGTACTTTCCATTCCATTCCATTCGAATCTCTTCAATTCCATTCCATTCCATTTGAGTCCATTCCACTCCATTCGAGTCCATTCCATTGAATTCCATTCCGTTCGAGTCCATTCCATTCCATTTCATTCGAAGAAATCCCATTCCTTTTCATTCCTTTTGAGTCAATTCCATTCCGTTCGAGTCCATTCCTTTCCATTATAGTCCATTCCTTTACATTCCATTCGAGTCCATTCCATTCAATTAGATTTGAGTCCATTCCATTCCATTCCATTCGAGTCCATTCCATTCTATTCTGTTCGAGTCCATTCCATTGAATTCCATTAGATTCCATTCCATTAGACTCCGCTCAATTAAATTCCATTCCATTCCATTCGAGTCCATTCAATTCCATTCGAGTCCATTCCATTCCATTCCCATCGAGTCCTTTCCGATCCTTTCCATTCTTTCCATTCAAGTCCACTGCATTCCATTCCATTCCATTCCCTTCCAGTACCTTACATTCCATTCCATTCCATTCCAATTGGGTACGTTTCATTACATTTCTTTCAATTCCATTCCATTCTATTTGAGTCCCTTCCATGCCATTCCATTCTAGTCCATTCCATTCCACTCCATTCCTTTTGATTCCATTCCATTCTATTCCATTCATGTCCATTCCATTCCAGTACATTTGAGTCCATTCCATTCCATCCATTCTATTCCATTCACTTACATTCCACTCCATTTCATTCCATTCCATTCCAATCCATTCCATTCCATTCCAATCCATTCCATTCCATTCCATTCCAGTCCATTCCATTCCAGTCCAGTCCATTCCATTCCATTCCATTTGGGTCCATTCTTTTCCACTCCATTCGAGTCCATTCCATTGCATTCGTGTCCATTTCATTCGAGTCCATTCCATTCCACTCCGTTCCTTTCGATTCCATTCCATTCTATTTCATTTGAGTCCATTCCATTCCATTCCATTCTAGTACATTCCATTCTATTCCGTTCAATTCCATTTGAGTCTAATCCATTCCATTCCATTCCATTCCATTCGAATCCATACAATTACATTCGAGTCGATTCCATTTCATTCCATTCCAGTCCATTCTGTTCCTTTTGATACCATTTGAGTCCATTCCATTCCATTCCATTCGAGTCCATTCCATTCCAACCCATTTCATTCGAGTACATTCTATTCCATGCCATTCGAATCTCTTCAATTCCATTCCATTCCATTAGAGTCCATTCCACTCCATTCCATTCCATTCGAGTCCATTCCATTGAATTCCTTTCCATTCGAGTCCTTTCCATTCCATTTCATTCAAAAAAATTCCATTCCATTTCGTTCCTTTTGAGTCAATTCCATTCCATTCGAGTCCATTCCATTCCATTAGAGTCCATTCCATTCCATTCCATTCTAGTTCATTCCATTCCATTAGATTCGAGTCCATTCCTTTCCATTCCAGTCCATTCCTTTCAAGTCCAGTCAATTCAATTGCAATCCGTTCGAGTCCATTACATTTAAATTCCACTCCATTCAATTCCACACCTTTCCTTTCCCTTCCATTCCATTCGATTCCATTTCATTCCATTCCATTCCATTCCATTCGAGTCTATTCTATTCCTTTACATACCATTCCATTCGAGTCCATTCCATTCGATTCCATTCTGTTCGACTCCATTCCATTCGATTCGTGTCCATTCCATTCCATGGCATTCCATTCCATGTTATTCCTTTTGATTCCATTCCATTCTATTCCATTCGAGACCATTCCATTCGATTAGTGTCCATTCCATTCCATGGCATTCCAGTCCATTCCATTCCATGTTATTCCTTTTGAGTCCATTCCATTCTCTTTCATTCGAGACCATTCCTTTCTGACCCATTACACTCGAGTCCATTCCATTCCATTCCATTCGAATCCATTCCTTTCCATTCCATTCCAATCCTGTCCATTCCATTCCATTGACTTCGAATACATTCCATTCCATTCCATTCGGGTCCAATCCATTCAATTCCATTCTAGTCAATTCCATTCCATTCCTTTTGATTCCATTCCATTGCATTCCATTACAATTTTTTCAAGTCCATTCAATCCCATTACTTTCTCTTCGAGTTCATTCCATTCCATTCCATTCGAGTCATTTCCATTCCATTCCATTCCATTCGAGTCCAGTCCGTTTTATTCCATTCCAGTCCTCTCCATTCCATTCCATTAGAGTCCATTCCATTAAATTCCACTGTATTCCATTCGAGTCCACTCCATTCCATTCCATTCGAGTCCATTCTACTCAATTCCATTCGAGTCCATTCCATTCCACACCATTCCATTCCATTCGAGTCCATTCCATTCTATTCCATTTGAGTCTGTTCCATTCATTTCTATTAGTTTCCATTCCATTAGAGTCCATTCCATTAAATTCCATTCCATTCCATTTGAGTCCATTCCATTACATTCGAGTCCATTCCATTCCATTCCATTCCATTCCATTCGAATCCATTCCATTCCATTACATTCAAATCCATTACATTCCATTCCCTTCCAATCCAGTCCGTTCCGTGCCATTGAATTCGAGTCCATTCCATTCCATTCCATTCGGGTCCAATCCATTCAATTCCGTTCGAGTCAATTCCATTCCATTCCACTTCAGTCCATTCCATTGCCTTCCATTCCAATCCTTTCAAGTCCATTCAATACTGTTACGTTCTATTCAAGTCCATTCCATTCCATTGCATTCGAGTTCTTTCCATTGCATTCCATTTCTTTCGAGTCCAGTCTGTTTTATTCCATTCGAGTCCGCTCCTTTCCATTACATTTGATTCCACACCCTAAAATTCTGCTCTAATCAATTCGAGTCCATTCCATTCACTTCCATTCCATTCGAGTCCATTCCATTCCATTTGAGTCCATTCCATTCCATTCAAATGGAGTCCACTCCATGCCATTCCATTCAAGTCCATTCCACTGCATTCCATTCGTGTCCATTCCATTCCACACCATTCCATTCGATTCCATTCCACTCTATTCCATTCAAGTCCATTCCATTCCATTCCATTCGAGTCTACTCCATTCCATTGCATGCCATTCGAGTTAATTCCACTGCATTCCATTTCATTTGAGTCCGTTCAATTCCATTCCATTCCATTCCACTCGAGTCGATTCCATTCCATTCGAGTCCATTCCATTTCATTCGAGTCCATTCCATTCAATTCGATTCCATTCGAGTCCACTTCATTCCATTCCATTCAATTCCACTCCATTCCATTCCATTCCATTCCATTTCACTCCATTCCATTCCAATCCATTCCATTCCATTCTTTTCGGGTCCATTCATTTCAAATGCATTCCATTCTATTTCATCCCATTCCATTCCATTCCATTCCATTGAGTCCATTCCATTCCATTCCAATCCATTCGAGCCCATTTCATTCCATTACTTTCCATTCCATACGAGTTCATTCCATTTCGTTACATTCCATTCAATTCGATTCCATTCAATTCCATTGCATTCCATTCGAGTCCATTCCACTCCATTCCCGTCGAGTCCTTTCCATTCCATTTGAGTCCATTCCATTCCATTGCATTCGAGTCCATTCCATTCCATGCTATTCCATTTGAGTCCATTCCATTCCATTCCATTTGAATCCATTCCATTCCATTTGAGCCCAATCCATTCTATTCCATTACATTCCATTCGGGTAAATTCCATTCCATTCCATTCCATTCCAGTCAATTCCATTCCATTCGGGTCCAGTCCATTCCATTCCATTCGATTCCATTCCATGCCGTTCCATTCAAGTCCGATCCATTCCGTTACGTTCCATTCCATTTGAGTCCATTCTATTCCATTGCCCTCCTTTCAGGTCCATTCCACTCGAGTCTATTCTATTCCATTCCATTCCTTTCGGGTCCATTCTATTCCATTCCTTTCGAGTTCATTCCATTCCAGTCCATTCCACTCGAGTCCATTCCACTCGAGTTGATTCCATTCCATTTGAGGGCATTCCTTTACATTCGAGTGCATTCCATTTCATTCAATTCAAGTCCATTCCATTCCATTCCAGTCCAGTCCATTCCATTCCACTGAATTCCTTTTGAATCCATTTAATTCAATGGCATTCTACTCCAGTCCATTCGATTTTATTCCATTCCATTGCATTCCATTCCATTCCGTTCCATTGCATTCCGTTTCATGCCATTAGTTTCCATTCCATTTGAGTCCATTTCATTCCATTCCATTCCATTCCATTCGTGTCCATATCATTTCTCTACATTGCTTTCCTTTCGAGTCCATTCAGATTGGCTACATTGCATTCCATTCGGGTCCATTCCATTCCATTCCCTTCCATTTGAATCCATTAGACTCCATTCCATTTGACTCCATTCCATTTCATTCAATTCGAGTCCATTCCATTCTATTCTATTCGAGTCCATTCCATTCCATTCCATTCGAGACCATTACAATCCGTTCTATTCCTTTTGAATCCATTCAATTCCATTCCATTCGAGTCCATTCCATTCATGTCCATTCCATTCCATTTATGTCCATTCAATTCCATTACATTCCATTCGAGTCCGTTCCAATCCATTCCTTTCCACTCCATTAGAGTCCACACCATTCCTTTCCATTACATTCCGTTAGGGTCTCTTCCATTCAATTCCATTCGATTCAATTCCATTCCATTACATTCGAGTCCATTCCATTGCATTCCATTCGACGCCATTACATTCCGTTCCATTCGAGTCCATTCCATTACATTCTATTCGAGTCCATTCCTTTCCATTCGAGTCAATTCCATTCCATTCTGTTCGAGTCCATTCCATTGCACTCCATTTGATTCCATTCCATTACATTCGAGTCCATTCCATCACATTATATTCCAGTCCATTCCATTCCATTCGAGTCCATTCTATTCCATTCCATTCCACTCGAGTCCATTCCATTCCATTCCATTACATATTCCATTCTACTCGAGTTGACTCCATTCCATTCCATTCCATTCGAGGACATTCCATTATATTCAAGTCCATTGCATTCCATTCAATTCGAGTCCATCAATTCCATTCCATTCCATTTGAGTCCATTGTATTCCACTCCTTTCCTTTCCATTCGAGTCCATTCAATTCCATTCCATTCTTTTTGGATCCATTCCATTCCATTCCATTCCTTTCCTTTCCATTCGAGTCCATTCAATTCCATTCCATTCCTTTTGGGTCCATTCCATTCCATTCCGTTCCATTCCATTCCATTCGAGTCCATTCCATTCCAGTCCATTCCACTCGAGTCCATTCCATTCCATTCCGTATTCCATTCCAATCGAGTTGATTCCATTCCATTCATTCCGTTCGAGGGCATTCCGTTCCATTCGAGTCCATTCCATTCCTTTCCAGTCGAGTCAATTGCATTCCGTTCCTTTCCATTCCTTTCCATTCTATTCCTTCGAGTCCATTTAATTCAATTGCATTTCATTTGAGTCCATTCATATACATTACATTAAATTCCAATCCATTCCATTTCATTCCTTTCAATTCCATTCCATTCCATTAGGGTCCATTCCATTCCATTCCATTCCATTCTAATCCATTCCAATTGGTTACAGTCCATTCCATTCTAGTCCATTGAGTTCCATTCCTTTCCATTCGAATCCATTCCACTCCATTACTTTTGAGTCCATTCCAGCCCACTCCATTCCATTCGCCTGCATTCCATTTCATTCCACTCGAGTCCATTCCATTCCATTCTATTCGATTCGAGCCCATTCCATTCCTTTCCATTTGAGTCCATTCCATTCCATATGAGTACATTCCATTCCATTCCATTCGAGTCCATTCCAATCCATTCTATTCCTTTTGAATCCATTCCATTCCATTCGATTCGAGTCTGTTCCTTTCGAGTACATTCCATTCAATTCGTGTCCATTCAATTCCATTAAATTTCATTCGAGTCCATTCCATTCCATTCCATTCCATTCAATACGAGTCCATTCCTTTCCATTACAATTCATTCCATTCGGTCCATTCCACTCAATTCCATTCGAGTGAATTCCATTCCATTCCATTCAAGTCCATTCCATTGCATTCCATTCGAGTCCGTTCCATTCCATTCCATTCCATTCCATTCCATTCGAATGCATTCCATTCCATTCCATTTCATTCCTATAGAGTCCATTAATTTCCGTTCGAGTCCATTCCATTCCAATCCATTCAAGTCCATTTAATTGCTTTCCAGTCCATTCTTTTGAGAACATTCCATTCCATTCCATTCCATTAGGGTCCTTTCCATTCCACTCAATTCAAGGTCTTTCCATTGCATATCATTCCATTCGATTATATTCCATTCCATTCCATTTGAGTCCATACCATTCCTTTCCATTCCATTCGAGTCCATTCCTTTCCATTCCACTGCCTTCGAATCCATTCCATTACATTTGACTGCATTCCATTCCATTCCATTCCATTTGAGTCCATTCCACCGTATTCCATTCCATTCCTTTCGAGTCCATTCAATTCCATTCCAATCCATTCGAGTCCTTTCCATTCCATTCCAATCCATTCGAGTCCATTCCATTCCATTCCATAAGATTACATTCAATTGCATTCCATTCCTTTCGAGTACATTCCATTTAATTCTATTCGAATCCATTCCATTCCATTATATTCAAGTCCATTCCATTCAATTCCAGTTTTTCCATTAGAGTCCATATCATTCCATTCCATTACATTTGAGTCCATTTCATTGCATTTGAGTAAATTCTATTCCTTTCCGTTTGAGTCCATTCCTTTCCATTCGAGACCTTTCCATTCCATTCCATTACGTTTGACTCCTTTCCATTCCATTCCGTTTGACTCCTTTCCATTCCATTCCATTCCAGTCGAGTCCATTCCATTCCGTTCCACTCCATTCCGTTCCAGTCGAGTCCATTCCATTCCTTTCCACTCCATTCGAGTCCATTCCATACCTTTCGAGTCCATTCCATTCCATTCACCTCGAGTCCATTCGATTCCATTCCATTCCACTAGAGTCTATTCCATTCCAATCCATTCGAGTCCAGTCCATTCCATTCGAGTCCATTCCATTTAATTTCATTTGAGTCCATTCCGTTCCATTCCATTCCATTACATTCCTTTACATTACATTACATTATATTCCTTTCAAGTCCATTCAATTCAATTGCATTCCATTCGAGTCCATTCCATTCCATTCCATTCCTTTGAGTGCTTTACTTTCCATTCCATTCCATTTGAGTCCATTTCATTCCATTACATTCCTTTTGATTCAATTCTATTCCATTTCATTCCATTCCATTTCATTCGTGTCCATTCCATTCCATTCCAATCCACTCGAGTCCATTCCTTTCCATTCCTTTCGAGTCCTTTCAATTCCATTCCATTCCACTCGAGTCCATGCCACTCCATTATATTTGAGTCCATTCCATTTCACTCCATTCCATTCGAGTCCATTGCATTCTATTCCTTTCGAGTCCATTCATTTCCATTCCATTCCAGTCCAGTCCATTCCATTATATTCCATTCAATTCCATTGCATTCAAATGCATTACATTCGAGTCCAATACATTCCACTTGAGTCCACTCCATTCCATTACATTCGAGTCCATTCACTTCCATTCTATTCCATTTGAGTCCATTCACTTCCATTCTATTCCATTTGAGTCCATTCCATTCCATTCCATTCGAGTGCATTCCATTCCATTCCATTCGAGTCCATTCCATTCAATTCCATTCCATTTGAGTCTCTACCTTTCCATTCCATATTATTCGAGGAAATTCCATTCCACTCCATTCCATTCGGGTCCATACACTTCAATTCCATTGCAGTCAATTTCATTCCATTCCATTCCATTCGAGTACATTCCATTCTATTCCATTCCAATCCATTCCATTGGACTAGATTCCATTAGAATACATTCTATTAAATTCCATTCCATTCCATTCGGGTCCATTCCATTTGAGTCCATTCCTTTCCATTGCATTCCATTCCATTCGAGTCCATTCCATTCCATTACCTTCCATTCCATTAGAGTACAATTCATTCCATTCCACTCCATTCGAGTCCATTAAATTCCATTCCATTCTATTCCATTCGAGTCCATTCCATTCCATTCGAGTCCATTCCATTCCATTCGAGTCCATTTGATTCCATTCTCTTCCATTCGAGTCCATTCCTTTCCATTCTATTCAAGTCCATTCCTTTCCTTTACATTGCATTCCATTCGAGTCAATTCAATTCCATTTTATTCCATTCCATTAGTGTTCATTCCATACCATTCCATTCCATTCAAGTCCATTCCATTGCATTCCATTTTATTCGAGTTCCTTCCATTCCATTCCTTTCGAGTCGATTGCATTCCACTCAATTCCATTCGAGTCTATTCAATTCCGTTCCATTCCATTCCATTCCATTTGAGTCCATTGAATTCCATTCCATTCCATTCACTTTCATTCCATTCCATTCCATTCAATTCCATATGAGTCATTACTTTCCATTCTATTCAGGTCCATTCCACACCATTCCATTTCATTCCATTCCATTCTATTCCATTCGAGTCCATTCCATTGCATTCCATTCCATTCGAGTATATTCCATTCTATTCATTTTGAGTCCATTCTGTTCCATTCCATTTTACTAGATTTCGTTAGTATCCATTCCGTTAAATTCCATTCCATTCCATTAGAGGCAATTCCATTCCATTAGGTTCCATTCAATTCCATTCCATTTCAGTCCATTCTTTTCCATTCTAATCCATTCAAATCCATTCCATTCCATTCTCGTCCATTCCATTCCATTCCATTCCATTGCATTCCATTCCAGTCCCTTCCATTTCTTCGGGTCCATTCCATTCCATTCGAGTTTTTTCCATTCCATTCTAGTCCATTGAATTCCATTCGATTTGAGTCCATTCCATTCCACTGGAGCCCATTGCATTCCATTTCGTTCCATTCCATTAGAGTCCTTTCCATTACATTCCACTCTTGTCCATTCCATTCCATTCCATGTTCCATTACACTTGAGTTGATTCCACTCCAATCCATTCCATTCAACAGTATTCCATTCCATTCGAGTCCATTCCATTCCATTCCTGTCGTGTCCACTGCATTGCATTCCTTTCATTCCTTTCGAGTCCATTCAATTCAATTGCATTCCATTCGAGTCCATTCGAATCCATTGCCTTCCATTCCATTCCGTTTCATACCATTCCATTCCATTCAATTCGTGTCCATTTCATTCCATTACATTCCATTCCATTCGAATCCATTCCTATCGGCTACATTCCTTCGAGTCCATTCAATTCCATTGCATTCCATTCGAATCCATTCCACTCCATTCCATTCAAGTCCATTCCATTCCACTCCATTTGATTCGACTCCATTGCATTTGATTGCATTCGAGTCCATTCCATTCCATTCCATTCTATTCATTTCGACTACATTCCATTCCATTCCGTTCGAGTCCATTCCATTCCATTTGAGTCCACTCTTTTAGACTCCATTCGAATCCATTCCAATCCATGCTATTCCTTTTGAATCCATTCCATTCCGTTCCATTCGAGTCTATTCCATTCAAATTGTGTCCATTCAATTCCACTACATTTCATTCGAGTTCATTCCATTCCATTACATTCCATTCGGGTGCATTCCATTCAATTCCATTCGAGTCAAATCCATTCCATTCCATTCGAGTCCATTCCATTTCATTCCATTCGAGTCCATTCCATTCCATTTCATTTGAGTCCATTCCATTCCATTCAATTCCATTCGAGTAAATTCCATTCCATTCGAGTCCATTCCATTCCATTCCATTCGAGTCCATTTTTTTCCATTATATTCCATTACATTCGGGTCCATTCCATTCCATTATCTTCCATTCCATTAGAGTTCAATCCATTCCATTTCCTTCCATTCGAGTCCATTAATTTCACTTCCATTCCATTCCGTTTGTCTCCATTCCATTCCATTCGAGTCCATTCCATTCCATTTTATTCCATTAGATTCCATTCAATTCCATTCGGGTCTTTTCCATTCTATTCCCTTCGAGTCCATTCCTTTGCATTACATTCCATTCCATTCGAGTCTATTACATTCCATTACATTCTATTCCATTAGTGTTCATTCAATTCCATTTCATTCCATTCAAATCCATTCCTGTCCAATTCATTTTACTCTAGATCCTTCCATTATATTCCATTCCATTCAACTCCTTTTCAAAAAATTCCATTCCATTCGAGTCCTTTCTGTTCCATTCAAATCCATTCGAGTCTATTCAATTCCATTCCATTTCATTCCATTCCATTCGAGTCCTTTCCATTCCATTCCATTCGAGTCCATACCATTCCATTCCTTTCAATTCGCGATCATTCCATTCCACCCTATTCCCTTCGATTCCATTCCATTCCATTCGACTGCATTCCATTCCATTCCATTCCATTCGAGTCTATTCCATCGTATTTCCTTCCATTCCTTTCGAGTCCATTCAATTCAATTCCAATCCATTCGAGTCCTTTCCATTCCATTCCAATCCATTCGAATCCATACCATTCCATTCCATATGATTCCGTTAAATTGCCTTCCATTCCATTCGAGTCCATTCCATTCTATTCCATTTGAGTGCATTCAATTCCATTACATTCGAGTCCATTCCATTCAATTCCACTTTTTCCATTCAAGTCCATTCCATTACATTACATTTGAGTTCATTCCATTGTATTTGAGTATATTCCATTCCATTCCATTTGAGTCAATTCCATTCCATTCGAGACCATTCCATTCCATTATGTTCGACTCCTTTCCTTTCCTTTCCGTTCCAGTCAAGTCCATTCCATTCCTTTGCATCCCATTCGATTCCATTCCATTCCATTCCATTCCACTCCATTCCCCTGGAGTCTATTCGATTCCATTCCATTCCACTCGAGTCCATTCCATTCCAATCCATTCGAGTCCAGTCCATTCCATGCGAGTCCATTCCATTTAATTCCATTTGAGTCCATTCTGTTCCATTCAAATGCATTCCATTCCTTTCCATTCCATTCCATCTGGGGCCATTCCATTCCATTCCATTCAAATCGAGTTGATTCGCTTCTATTCCATTCCATTCGAGTCCATTACACTACATTCCAGTCCATTCCGTTCCTTTCAAGTCCATTCCATTCCATTCCACTCCATTCCTTTCCATTCCATTCCATTTCTTTCCATTCCATTCGAGGCCATTCCATTCTATTGCTTTTGAGTCCGTTTCTTTCCATTCCATTCGTGTACATTCCATTTTATTGCTTTCGATTCGAATCCATTCCCTTCCATTCCATTTCATTCCATTCCATTCCATTCCTGTCCATTCCATTCCATTCCATTCCATACCATTCCATTCAATTAGAGTCCATTCCATTCCATTCCTTTCCGTTCATTTCCACTCCTTTCCATTCCATTCCATCCATTCGTGTTCATTCGATTCCATTATATTTTTTCCATTAGAGTCCTTTCCGTTCCATTCCATTCAATTCCAGTCCAGTCCATTCCAGTCCATTCCATTTCTTTGGGTCCAATCCATTCCATTCCATTCGAGTCCATTCCATTCAACTCCATTCCATTCGCATCCACTCTATTACATTACATTCCATTCCAGTCGATTCCTTTTATTTCCATTCATGTCCAATCCATTCCATTCGAGTCCTTTCCATTCCACTCCATTCCATTCTTTTCGAGTCCATTAAATGCAGTTCCATTCCATTCGAGTCCATTCCATTCCATTCCATTCGAGGCCATTCTATTCCATTCCATTCCATTCGAGTCAATTTCATTCCATTATATTGCATTCCATTCAAATCTAGTCCATTCCATTACATTCCTTTCCTGTTGAGTCCATTCCATTCCATTCCATTCCATATGATTCCTTTCTACTCCATTCTATTCGCGTTCATTCTTTTCTATTCTGTTGCATTCGAGTCGATTCCATTCCATTCCATTCCTTTCGTGTCTATTTCATTCCCTTACATTCCATTGCATTCGAATCCATTGCCTTCCATAACATTTCATTCCTTTTGAGTCCCTTCAATTCCATTCCATTACATTCAAGTCCATTACACTCCATTACATTCAAGTCCACTCCCTTCCATTCCACTCCATTTGAGTCCATTCTATTCTATTCCATTCGAGGGAATTCCATTCCATTCCATTACGTTTGACTCCATTTGATTCCTTTCCATTCCATTCCACTTGAGTTGATTCCATTCCATTCCATTCGAGTCCATTTCATTCCATTAGAATCCGTTCCATTCCATTCCATTCTTGTCCATTCCATTCCATTCCATTCCATTCTTTTTGATTCCATTCCATTCCATTCCAATCCATTCCATTCGATGCCATTCCATTCCAGACCATTCGAGTCCATTTCATTCCATTCCATTCGAGTCCATTCCTTTCGATTACCCTCCCTTCAATTTGAGTCCATTCAATTTCATTCCATTGCATTCGAGTCCATTCCACTGCATTCCATTAGAGTCAATTCCATTCCATTTGAGTCCATTCCATTCAAGTTCATTAAATTCTATTAATTCGAATCCATTCCTTTCCACTAAATTCTATTCCATTCGAGTCATTTCCATTCCATTCCATTCGAGTCCATTCCATTCTATTCCATTCGAGTCCTTTCCATTCCATTCGAGTCCATTCCATTCCAATCAACTCCATTCGAGTGCGTTCCATTCCAATCCATTCCACTCAAGTCCATTGCATTCCATTGCATTTGCATCCGTTCCATTCCATTCAATTCCAATCGAGTACATTCTTTTCCATTCGAGTCCATTCCTTTCCATTCCATTTCATTCTATTCCATTCCACTCCATTCAATTCCAATCCATTCGAGTCCATTCCCCTCCATTCCATTTTATTCGAATCCATTCCATTCCATTCAATTCCATTCCATGCTTGTCCATTACATTCCATTCGAGTCCATTCCTTTCAATTCCATTCCACTTGAGTCATTCCATTCCAATCCATTCCATTCCATTAGAGTCCACTGCATTCCATTCCATTCCGTTCCATTCACTTCCTTTACATTCCACTCCATTCCATTCAATTCCATTCCACTCGTTTCCATATCATTCCATTCCTTTCAAGTACGTTCCAATCCATTCCATTCTGGTCCATTCCATTCAATTCCATTCGAGTCAATTCCATTCCATTCCTTTGGAGTCCATTCCACTGCATTCCTTTCCATTCTTTCGAGACCATTCCTTTCCATTCCATTCGAGTCCATTCCATTCCATTACATTTGAGTCCATTAGTTTGCATTCCACTCCATTCGAGTACATTCCATTCTATTCCATTTGAATCCTTTCCATTCCGTTCCATTAGATTCCATTCCATTAGTGTTTGTAAAATTAAATTACATTCCATTCCTTAAGAGACAATTCCATTCCATTCGTGTCCATTCCATTCCATTTCTTTGGAATCCATTGGATTAATTTCCATTATTTTCCATTCAAGTCCATTCCATTCCAATCCATTCCATTCCAGTCCATTCCATTCCATCCCATTCCATTCGGGTCCATTCCATTCCATTGCACTCCATTACTTTCGAGTGCAGTCCATTCCATTTCAGTAAATTAGATTCCATTCCATTCCATTCGAGTTCCTTCCATTCCATTCCATTCCATTCGAGTCCATTGCATTCCATTCCATGCCACTCGAGTCCATTCCATTCCATATCATTCGAGTCCATTCCATTCCATTCTATCCCATCCAGGAACATTCCATTCCATTCCATTCGGGTCTATTCCATTCCATTCCATTCCATTCGGGTCTATTCCATTCCATTCCATTCCATTCCATTCCATTCCATTCGAGTCCACTCCATTCCATTCCATTCTACTCGAGTCGATTCCCTTCTATTCCTTTCCATTCGAGTCCATTCCATTCCATTCGAGGCCATTCCATTGCATTCAATTCAATTGCATTCCTTTCGAAAACATACCATTCCTTTCCATTACATTTCATTTTTCAATTCCATTCCATTTGATTCCTTTCCTTTCCATTCCATTCCATTCGAGTCTATTTCATTCCATTCCATTCCATTCCATTCGAGTCCATTCTTTTCTCTTACATTCCATTCCATTCGAGTCCATTCAATTCCATTCTTTTGCATTCGAGTCCAATTCACTCCATTCTATTCGAGTCCACTCCTTTCCACTCCATTCCTTTTGAGTCCATTCCATTCAATTCCATTCGAGTCCATTCCGTTACATTCAAGTCCATTCCATTCCACGCAATTCCATTCCATTCCATTCGGGTCCATTTCATTCCATTCCAATCGGGTCCATTCCATTCCATTCCACTCCATTCGAGTCCATTCCATTTTCTCCATTCCATTTGATGCCATTCCATTCCATTTGAGTCCATTCCCTTCCATTCCACTCCAGTCCTGTCCAGTACATTCCATTCCTTTGCATTCCATTCCATTCTATTCCATTCCATTCGAGTCCATTCCATTGCATTCAATTCCATTCCATTCCATATCTTTCCATTCTTGTCCACTCCTTTCCATTCCTTTCGAGTCTATTCCTTTCCATTGCATTATTTCCATTCGAGTCCATTCCATTCCATTCCATTCCATTCCATTCCATTCCAGTCCTTTCTAGTCCACTGCATTCCATTCGGGTCCATTCCGTTTTCTCCATTCTATTCGATGCCATTCCATTCGATTCCATTTGAGTCCATTCCATTTGAGTCCATTCCATTCCATTGCATTCTATTCCATTCGAGTCCATTCCTTTCCATTCGGTGTCATTCCATTCGAAACCATTTGAGTCCATTCCATTCCATTTCATTCATGCCCATTCCATTCCATTCCATTCTATTCCATTCGAGTCCATTCCTTTCTATTTCATTCCATTCGAATGCATTTCATTTCATTGGATTCCATTCCAATCCATTACATTGGAGTCCATTCCATTCCATTCTATTCCATTTGAGTCCATTCCATTCGAACCCATTCCACTCCAACCCATTCCATTTGAGTCCAGTCCATTCCATTCGATTCTATTCCATTTGATTCCATTCTATTCCATTCCATTCCAACTCATTCCATTCGAGTCCATTCCATTCTTTTCCATTCGAGTCTATTCCTTTCAATTTCATTCCATTCGAGACCATTCCATTACATTCTATTCGAATCCATTCCATTCCGTTCCATTTCATTCAAGTCATTAGATTCCACTCCGTTCCATTCCATTCCAGTCCATTTCATTCCCTTCCATTCCATTCGGGTCCATTCCATTCAATTCCATTCGAGTCAATTCCATTGTATTCCATTCGAGTCCATTCCATTCTGTTCCATTCCATTAGATTCCAATCCATTATATCCCATTCCATTTGAGGCCATTCCCTTCCATTCCATTCCATTCCATTCCACTCCATTCCATTGCAGTCCATTCCATTCCATTCCATTTGGGTCCATTGGATGTGAGTTAATTCCATTCCATTCTATTCCATTCGATTCCATTCCTTTCCTTTCCAATGCTAAAGAGTCGTTTCCAGTCCATTCCATTCAATTCCAGCCAATTCCATTTAATTCTCCTCCATTCCATTCCAATCCATTCGAGTCCATTCCATTGCATTCCATTCCGTTTTTTTCCATTCCATTCCTTTCGAGTCCATTCGATTCCATTCCATTCCTTTCGAGTCTATTTCATTCCATTCCGTTCCATTCTATTCCATTCCATTCGATTCCATTCCATTACAATCCTTTAGAGTCCATTCCATTCCATTCCATTCTATTCCATTCATGTCCATTCTATTCTCTTCCATTCCATTCCACTCCAGTCTATTCCATTCTATTCCAATCTACTCCATTCCATTCCATTCCACTCCACTCATGTGCATTCCATTCCATTCCATTCCATTCGAGTAAATTCGGTTTCATTCCATTCCATTCAATTCTGGTCCATTCAATTCCATCCCATTCACGTCCATTCTATTCGATTCCATTCCATTCGGGTCCATTCTCTTCCATTACACTCCACTCGAGTCGTTTCCATTCCATTCCATTCCTTTCTTGTCCATTCCATTCCATTCGAGTCCATTCCATTCCATCCCATTCGAGTCCATTCCATTCCATTCCATTCCTTTCGAGTCCATTTCCTTCCATTCCATTCCATTCGAATCCATTTCATTCCAGTACTTTTCATTCCATTTGACTCCATTCCATTCCAGTACTTTGCATTCCATTCGATTCCATTCCATTCTATTTCAATCGTTTGATTCGAGTGCATTCAATTCAACTCGGTTCAATTTGTGTCCATTCCACTCCATTCCATTCGAATCCATTCCATTCCATTCCATTTCATTCCTGTACAGTCCATTCCATTCCATTCCATTCCATTGTATTCCATTCCATTCCATTCCTTTCGAGTCCATTTCATTCCATTCCTTTCCATTCATTTCCACTCCATTCCATTTCATTCCATCCATTCGAGTCCATTCCGTTCCATTGCATTTTTTCCATTAGAGTCCATTCCATTCCAGTCCAGTCCATTCCAGTCCATTCCATGTCTTTGGATCCAGTCCATTCCATTCCATTTGAGTCCATTCCATTTAATTCCATTCCATTCGAATCCACTCCATTACATTATATTCCACTCTACTCGACTCCTTTCCATTCCATTCATGTCCATTCCATTCCATTCGAGTCCATTCCATTCCATTTGAGTCCTTTCCATTCCACTCCATTCCATTCTTTCGAGTCCATTAAATGCAATTCCATTCCATTGGAGTCCAGTCCATTCCATTCCGTTCGAGGCCATTCTATTCCATTCCATTACATTCACGTCAATTTCATTCCATTATATTGCATTCCATTCAACTCTAGTCCATTCCATTACATTCCTGTCATATTGAGTCCATTCAATTACATTCCATTCCATGCGATTTCTTTCTACTCCATTCCATTCGAATTCATTCCTTTCCATTCTATTTCATTTGAGTCTATTCCAATCCATTCCATTCCTTTCGTGTCTATTTCATTCCCTTACATTCCATTGTATTCGAATCCATTCCCTTCCATAACATTTCATTCCTTTTGCGTCCATTCATTTCCATTCCTATCCACTCAATTCCATTACACTCCATTCCGTTTGAGTCCACTTTCTTCCATTCCATTCCTTTCAAATCCATTCCATTCTATTCCATTCGAAGGCATTCCATTCCATTCAATCCGAGGCCATTCCCCTGCATTCCATTCGAGTCCATTCCATTCCATTACATTCGAGTGCATTCCATTGAAATCCATTCCATTCGAGTCCATTCCAATCCATTCCATTCCACTCGAGTCCATTCCAATCCATTCCATTCCATTTGGGTCCATTCTTTTCAATTTCATTCGAGTCAATTCCATTCTGTTCCATTCCATTCCGTTCCATTCCATTCCATTCCATTACTTTCCATTCCATTCTTTTGAGACAACTAAAATCTATTCAATTCCATTCCATTCCTTTCCATTCCATTCCTTTTGAGACAACTAAAATCTATTCCATTCCATTCGAGTCTTTTCCAATCCATTCGATTCGAGTCCGTTCATTTGCATTCCATTCCATTCATGTCCATTCCATTCTCTTCCATTCGAGTGCATTCCTTTCGATTCCATTAGATTCCATTCAATTAGATTTCATTCCATTAAATTCCATTCCATTCCATTCAAGTCCATTCCATTCCATTCTATTCCATTCCTTTCCAAGGCCTTCGAGTCCTTTCCATTCCATTCTATTCTATTCCATTCAACTGCATTCAATTCCTTTCCATTCCATTAAATTCCAATCCATTCCATTCCATTCCATAAGATCCCATTCCGGTCAATTCCATTCCATTCCATTCCATTCCATTCCATTCCATTCCAATCAGGTGCATTCTATTCCATTTCATTCCATTCCATTCGAGTCCATTTCACTGCATTCCATTCAAGAACAATTCATTCCTTTCCATTAACGTCCATTCCATTAAATTCCATTCTATTCCGTTGAAGTCTGTTCCATTCCATTGCATTCAATTCCATTGGTGTCCCTTCCATTCCATTCCATTCCTGTGTATTCCATTCCATTCAAGTCCATTCTATTCCATTCCTTTAGAGTCCAATCCATGCCATTCCATTCTATTCCATTCAAGTCCTTTCCATTACATACCATTCCATCCCATTCCTTTCCATTCCATTCCATTCCATTCAAGTCCATTCCATTCCATTCCTTTAGAGTCCAATCCATTCCATTCCATGCTATTCCATTCAAATCCTTTCCATTACATTCCATTCCATCCCATTCCTTTCCATTCCATTCCATCCAGGTCCATTCCATTCCATTCCATTTGAGTCCAATTCTTTCCATTCCACTACATTTGAGTCCTTTCCATTCCATTCCATTCCATTCGTGTCCATTGCATTCCATGCCATTTGAGTGCATTCCATTCCATTCCATTCGGATCCATTCCATTCCGTTCCATTCCATTCGAGTCCATTCATTTTCATTCTATTCAATCCCATTCGTGTACATTCCGTTCCAGTCCATTCGAGTCCATTCCCTTCCATTCCATACCATTCGACTCCATTCCATTCCACTTGAGTCATTTTCATTCCTTTCAATTCCATTCTTGTCCATTCCATTCCATTCCATTCCATTCGAGTCCTTTCCATTCCATTACATTACTTTCAAGACCATTGAATTCCATTCCATTCAATTCAATTCCATTCCTTTCTATTACATTCGAGTCCATTTCAATTCATTCCATTAGAGTCCATTTCTTTAAATTCCATTCCATTCCACTCGAGTCCATTCCATTCCATTCCATGCCACTGGAGTCCAATCCATTCCATTCTATTCAGGTCCATTCCATTCCATTCCGTTCCATTCCATTCGAGTCCATTCCTTCCCATTCCATTCCATCACATTCGGCTATACTCCATTCCAAACCATTCGAGTCCATTCCATTCCATTCCATAACATTCGACTCCAGTCCATTCCACTCGAGTAGTTTCCATTCCATTCCATTCCATTCGCGTCCATTCCATTCCATTCCTTTCCATTCAAGTCCTTTCCATTCCATTACTTTCGAGATGATTGAATTCCATTCCATTCAATTCAAGTCCATTCCATTCTATTCCATTCGAATCCATCCCAATCCATTCCATTAGTGTCCAATCCATTAAATTCCATTCCATTCCTCTCGACTCCATTTTATTCAATTCCATGCCTTTTGAGTCCATTTCATTCCATTCCATTTGAGTCCATTCCATTCCATTCCATTTGAGTCCATTCTATTCCATTCCATTCCATTCCATTCCAGTCCAGTCCATTCCATTTCATTCGATTCCATTCCATGCCATTCCATTCGGGTCCATTCCATTGCATTATATTCCATTCAATTCCCTTCCATTCTATTCCATTCGAGTACATTCCATTCCATCCCATTCAATTCGTGTCCATTCCTTTCCATTCTAGTCAATTCCATTCCATTCCTTTTCATTCGAGTCCATTCCATTCCATTCTATTCCATTCGAGTTCATTCCACTCCATTGCTTTGCACTCGAGTCCATTCCATGCCAGTGCATTCAATTGTATTCCATTCCATTCCATTCCATTCGAGACCATTCCATTCGAGTCCATTCCATTGCATTCCATTTCATTCGAGTCCACTCCATTCCATTCCATTCCATTCCACTCGAGTCGAATCCATTCCATTCCCTTTCATTCGATTCTATTTCATTCAATTCTATTCTATTCCATACTAGTCCACTCCATTCCATTCCATTCCATGCCATTCCTATCCATTCCATTCCATTCATGTCCATTCTATTCCATTCCATTCGAGTCCAATCCATTCAATTGCATTTGAGTCCATTCCATTGCATTCCATTCCATTCGAATCCATTCCCTTCTATTCAATTCGAGTCCTTTCCATTTCACTCCATTTGATTCAATTCAATTAGAATCCATTCAATTTAATTTCATTCGTTTCTTTGGTGTCTATGCCATTCCATTTGAATCCATTCCTTTACATTGCCTTCGAGTCCATTCCAGTCCATTCCTTTCCATTCCATTCCATTCCATTCCTGTACATTCCATTTCATTCCATTCTATTTGGGTACATTCCATTCCATTCCATTAGAGTCCTTTCCATTCCATTCGTGTCCATTCCACTCCATTCCATTCGAGTCCATTCCATTCCCTTCCATTCCATTCCATTCCGTTCAAGTCCCTTCCATTGTATTCCATTTGTTTCCATTTCATTTCAGTCCATTCCATTCGTTTCCATTCCATTTCATTCGAGTCAATTCCATTCCATTCCATTCCATTTCATTCGATTCCATTCCATTCCATTCTATTCCATTCGACTCCATTCCATTCCATTCCTTTGCACTTGAGTCCATTCCATGCCTTTCCATTCAAATGGATTCCATTCCATTCGATTCAATTCCATTCCTTTCGACTCCATTCCTTTCCATTTCATTAGAGTCCAATCCATTCAATTCAATTCTATTCCATACAAGTTCATTCCATTCCATTCCATTCCATTCATGTCCACTCTATTACATTCCATTCGAGTGCATTGCATTCCTTTGCCTTCGAGTCCATTCCATTGCATTGCATTCCATTCCAGTCCAATCCATTCTATTCAATTTGAGTCCTTTCCATTCCATTCCATTCAATTTGAGTCCTTTCCATTCCATTCCATTAGATTCTATTCAATTAGTGTCCATTCCAGTAAATTAAATTATATTTCTTTCGAGTCTATTCCATTCCATTCGACTCCATTCCATTCCATTACTTTCGAGTCCATTCCATTCCATTCCATTCCATTCCCTGTCATTCCATTCCCTTCTTCTCCATTCTACTCCATTCCATTCCATTCGAGTCCTTTACATTCCATTCCATTGCAATCGTGTCCATTTCACTCCACTCCATTCCATTCAAGTCCATTCCGTTGCATTCCATTCGAGTCCATTCCATTCCATTTCATTCTATTCCAATCTATTCCATTCGAGTCCATTCCATTCCACTAGAGTTGTTTCCTTTCAATTCCATTCCATTCGAGTCCATTCCATTGCATTCGAGTCCATTCCACTGCATTCCTTTTGAGTCCATTCCTATCCAATCCATTCCTTTCGAGTCCATTCCATTCTGTATCATTCCATTCCCTTCCCTTCCATTCCATTCCATGCCATTCCATTCCATTCCATCCCCTTCCATTCAATTCGAGTCCATTCCATTCCATTGCTTTTGATTCCATTCCATTTCATTCCATTCGATTCGAATCCATTCAATTCCATTCCATTCCATTCGAGTCCATTTCATTCCTTTCCATTCTATTCGTATCCATTACTTTCTGTTCCATTCGATTCAATCCCAATTCATGCCATTGGAGTGCATTCCATTCCATGCCATTCCATTCCACTCTAGTGCATTCCATTCCATTCCATTCCATGGGAGTCCATTCCGTTCGAGTCCATTGACTCCATTCAATTCGATTCCATTCCATTCCATTCCATTCCATTGTAGTCCTATCCATTCCACTCTAATCCATTCCATTCCATTCCTTTCCATTTCATTTCATTCCATTCCATTCTCTTCCATTCCATTCCCTTCCATTTCTTTCCACTCCAAGCTGTTCAAGTCCATTTCACTCTGTTCCATTCTATTCCATTCCGTTCCTTTCCATTCCCTTCCATTCCATTCCATTCCCTTCCATTCCATTGCATTCCCTTCCATTTCATTCCATTCCATTCCATTTGAGTACATTTCATTCCATTAGTTTCCATTCAATTCGAGTCCATTTCATTCCATTACTTTACGTATCTTTCGAGTCCATTCCGTTCGAGTCCATTCCCGTCCATTCTTCTCCATTAAATTCCATTCCATTCCATTAGATTCGAGTCCATTACATTGCATTGTATTCAAAACCATTCCATTCCATTCCATTCGCGTCCCTTCCTTTCCATTCCATTCTATTCCATTCGAGTCCATTCTATTCCTTTCCATTCCTTTTGAGTCCAATCAATTGCATTGCATTTCATTTGAGTCGATTCCATTCCACTCCTTTCCACTCGAGTAGATTCCTTTCCACTCCATTCCATTTAAGTCCATTCCATACCATTCGAGTCCATTCCACTCCATTCGAATCCATTCCATTCCATTCCATTTGATTCCATTCCTTTCGAGTCAATTCAATTCAACTGCATTCCATGGGGGTCCATTCCATTCCATTCCATTTCATTCGAATACATTCCATTCAATTCCACTCCATTCGAGTCCATAAAATTCGAGTCCATTCCGTTCCATTCTATTCGAGTCCATTCCATTCCATTCTTTTCCACTGCAGTCCATTGCATTCCATTCCATTAGAGTCCATTTGATAAAATTCCATTCCATTCCATTCGAGTACATTCTATTCCATTGCATGCCATTCGAGTCCATTCCATTCCACTCGTATCCATTACATTCCATTTCATTTGAGTACAATCAATTCTATTCCATTCAAGCGCATTCAATTCCATTCCATACATTCCATTCCATTCCAATCCATTCCGGTCCATTTCATTCCATTCCATTCCATTCCATTCATGTCCTTTCTTTTCCATTCCGTTCGAGTACAATCCATTCAATTCGGGTTCATTCCATTACCTTCCATTCGAGTCCATTCCTTTCCATTCTATTCCATTGGAGTCCTTTTCATTCCTTTCCGTTAGAGTTCATTCCATTAGAGTCCAATCCGGAATATTCCATTCTATTGCTTTCGACTCAGTTCCATTCCACTCCATTCCATTTTAGTTTATTCGATTCCATTCAATTCCATTTGATTCCAATCCATTCCATTCCATTCTATTGCAATGAAGTTGTTTCCATTCCTTTCCTTTCATTGCATTCCACTCCATTCCATTCCATTCGGTTCCATTCCATTCCATTCTATTCCATTTGAGTCCATTGCATTCCATTTCATTCCATTCCTTTCCATTCCATTCCATTCGAGTCCATTCCATTTGGGTCCATTCCATTCCTTTCCATTCCATTCAAGTCCATTCCATGCCATTCCACTGGATTCCTTTCCATTCCATTCCATTCAAGTCCATTCCATTCCAACCCACTACATTCGAGTCCATTCTATTCCATGGCATCCCATTCCTGTCCATTCCATTCCATTCCATTCCATTTGGGTACATTCCTTTCCATTCCTTTGGAATCTATTACATTCATTTCCATTCCATTTGAGACCATAACATTCCATTCTATTCCATTCGAGTCCATTCCATTCCATTCCCTTTGAGTCCATTCCATTCCATTACAATCCTTTCGAGTCCATTCATTTCCATTCCATTCCATTCGAGTCCATTTCATTCCATTCCATTTCATTACATTTAGGTCCATTCCATTCGAGTCCATTCCATTGTATTACATTTCTTTCAAGTCCTATCCATTCCATTCCATTTCATTATGAGTCCATACCATTCCATTCGAATCCATTCCATTCCATTCCACTCGAGTTCATTCCATTGCATTCCATTCCATTCGAGTCCATTCCACTTTATTCCATTCGAGTCCATTCCATTCCATTCCAGTCTATGCGTGTCCATTCCATTACATTCGACTCCATTCCATTCTATTCCATTCAAGTGAATTCCAGTCCATTCCATTGCATTCGAATCCATTCCCTTCCATTCCATTCCACTCAATTCCACTCATGTCCATTCCATTCCATTCCATTCGAATCCATTCCATTCCATCCGTTTCCAGTCCATTCCATTTCATTCGAGTCCATTCCATTCCATTCCATTCTATATCATTCCATTAAATTCATTCCATTCCATTCCTTTCCATTCCATTCCATTCCATTCCATTCCACTGCATTCCATTCCATTCCATTCCATTCGTGTCCATTCCATTCAATTCCATTCCATTCGAGTCCATTCCATTCCATCCTATTCCATTGGATTCCATTTCATTCCTTTCCATTAGAATCCATTACATTAGAGTCCAATCCGTAAATCCATTCTACTGCATTCAACTCCATTCCGTTCCTCTCCTTTCCATTTGTGTCCATTCTATTCCATTCGAGTCTGTTCCATTGAATTCCATTCGATTACAATCCATTCCATTCCATTCTATTCCACTCAAGTCCATTCCATTCCATTCCATTCCATTCGTTTTCATTCCTTTCCATTCCATTCCATTCGTTTCATGTCCATTCCATTCCATTCAAGTCCATTCCTTTACATTCCATTCCATTCATTTCCATTCGAGTCCATTCCATTCCATTCCATTCCAATCCATTCGAGTCCATTCCATTCCATTCCATTCCATTCGACTTCAATCCTTTCCATTCCATTCCATTCGGGTCCATTCCATTCCCTTCAATTCGAGTCCATTCCATTTCATTCTATTCGATTCAAGTCTATTCCACTCCTTTCCATTAGAGTCCATTCCATTACTGTCCAATCTGGTAAATTCCATTCTTTTGCATTCTACTCCATTCCATTCCACTCCATTCCGTTTGTGTCCATTCCATTCCATTCGAGTCTGTTCCACTCAGTTCCACTCGATTCCAATCCATTCCATTCCATTCTACTCCATTCAAGTCATTTCCATTCCATTCCATTCCGTTGCATTCCAGTCCATTCAATTACATTCCAGTCCATTCCATTCCATTCCATTCCATTCCGGTCCATTCCATTCCATTGCGGTCCATTCCATTCCATTCCATTCCATTCCATTCGGGTCCATTCCATTCCATTCGTGTCCGTACCTTTCCATTCCACTCCATTCAATTCCATTCGATTCCATTCCATTCCATTACAATCCATTCGAATCCATTCCAATCCATTCCATTCCATTCGACTTCAATCAATACCATTCCATTCCATTTGTGTCCATTCCATTCCATTCTATTCGAGTACATTCCCTTTAATTCCATTCTATACCGTTCAAGTCCATTCCATTCCATACCATTCTATTCCATTCTTGTCCATTTCATTCCATTACATTACATTTCATCCATTCCATTCTATTCCATTTGGTCCATTCAATTCAATTCTATTGGATGCCATTCCTTTCCATTCCATTCCATTTGAGACCATTCCATTCCATCCCATTACATTTGAGTCCATTCCATTCCATGTCATTCCATGCAATTCCTTTCCATTCCATTCCATTCCAATACATTCAAGTCGCGTATTTCCATTTCATTCCATTGGAGTCCATTCAATTTAATTCAATTCCGTTCAAGTCCATCCCATTCCACTCCATTCTATTTGAGTCCATTCCATTCCTTTCTCTCCGTGTCCATTCCATTCCATTACATACCACTCGAGTCCATTCCTTTCTGTTCCATTTCATTCCAGTAAATACCATTCCATTCCATTCTCTTACATTTGGGTCCATTCCATTCCACTCCATTGCATTCCATAGAAGTCCATTCCACTCCATTCGAGTCCCTTCCATTCCATTCCTTTCCATTTCATTCCTTTCTAGTCCATTCCAGTCAACTGCATTCCATTCGAGTCCATTCCTTTCCACTCCATTCCATTCAATTCCATTAGAGGCCATTCCATTTCATTTCATTACGTTCGTGTCCAGTCCATTCCATTCCATTCAATTCAATTCCATTCGAGTCCATTTCATTTCATTCCATTCCCTTCGAGTCCATTCCATCCCATTCCATTCAACTTCACTCCATTCGATTCAATTCCGTTCGGTTCCATTCTATTCCATTCCATTCGAATACATTCCATTTCATTCCATTCTATTCCATTCAAGTCCATTCCATTCCATACCATTCCATTCCATTCCAGTCCATTCCATTCTATTCCATTCCATTCCATTCCATTCCATACCAATCCATTCTCTTCTGATCCCTTCCATTCCTTTCCATTTCATTCGGGACAATTCTATTCCATTCCATTGGAGCCTATTTCTTTGTATTCCATTCCATTCGAATGCATTCCATTCCATCCAATTACATTGGAGTCCATTCCATTCCATGCCATTCCATTCAATGGCTTTCCATTGGAGTCCATTACATACCAATCCATTCGACTCCTTTCCATTCGGTATATTCCATTCCATTCCATTCCATTGGAGTCCATTCCATGCCATTCCTTTCGAGTCCATACCGTTCCATTCCATTCCATTTGAGTCCATTCCATTCCATTCACTTCAAGTCCATTCCATTCTTTTCCATTACATTCGTGTCCATTACTATCCATTCCATTCTATTCGAGTCCATTCCACTCCATTTTATTACATTCGTGTCCATTCCATTCCATTCCATTCGAGTTCCATTCCATTGCTTTCCCTTTCACTCGAGTCCACTCCATTCCATTCCATTCCATTCCACTCCTGTCGAAACCATTCCACTGCATTCCATTGCATTCGAGTCCATTCCGTTCCATTCCATTCCATTCCATTCGAGTCTATTTCATTCCATTACCTTCCATGCCATTAGAGTCCATTCCATTAAATTCCATTCCATTAAATTTGAGTCCATTCCATTCCATTTGAGTCCATTCCATTCCTTTCCATTCGAGTACATTCTGTTCCATTCCATTCTTTTCCATTCCTTTCCAATCCATTCGAGTCCATTCCACCGCATTCCATTCCATTGGAGTCCATTCCATTGAATTCCATTCGTGTTCAGTCCATTCCATTCCACTGGAGTCCATTCCATTCAATTCCATGCCATTCGAGTCTATTCCTTTCTATTCCATTCCATTCTGGTCCATTTCATTCCATTCCATTTGAGTCCATTCCACTCCATTCGAGTCCATTTCATTCCATTCCATTCCATTCTATTCCATTCCATTCCATTCCTCTCCATTCCATTCCTATCGAGTCCATTCCTTTCAACGGCATTCCATTCAAGTCCATTCCTTTCCTTTCCATTCCATTCCATTCTTGTCCAATCTATTCCATTCCATTCCATTCGTGTCCAATCCATTCCATTCGAGTTCAATACCTTCAATTCCATTCCATTCGGTTGCATTCCATTCCATTCCATTTGAATACATTCCATTTCATTCCATTCTTTTCCATTCACGTCCATTGCATTCCATACCATTCCATTCCATTCCAGTCCATTCCATTCCAATCCATTCGATTCCATACCATTCCATTCCATTCCAGTCCATTCCATTCCAATCCATTCCATTCCATTCCAATCAATTCCATTACATTTCATTCTATTCCATTCGGGTCCATTCCATGCCATTCCAATCCTTTCAGGTCCATTCCATTCCATTCCATTCCATTCCATTCCATTCCATTCCATTGGAGTCCATTCCTTTGCATTCCATTGCGTTCGAATCCATTCCATTTCATCCTATTATATTTGAGTTCATGCCATTCCATTCCATGCCTTTCCATTCGAATCCATTCCATTCCATTCCATTCCAATCGGGTACGTTCCATTCCATTCCATTGGAGTGCACTCCATTCCATTCCATTCCATCACATTCGAGTACATACCATTCCATTGCATTCCATTCGAGTCCATTCCTTTCCATTCCATTCCACTCGAGTCGATTCCTTTCCATTCCATTCGAGTCCATTCCATTCCATTCGATTCCATTCCATTCCATTCCATTGGATTCCATTCCATTCCATTCCTTTCCATTCCATTCCTTTCGAGTCCTTTCCATTCAACAGCATTCCATTCGAGTCTATCCCTTTCCATTGCATTCCATTGCATTCGAGTCCATTCCATTCCATTCCATTCCATTTGAGTCCATTTCATTCCATTACTTTCCGTTCCATTCAAGTCCATTCCATTCCGTTACATTCTGTTCTATTTGAGTGCATTGAATTCCATTTGATTCCATTTGAATCCATTGCATTCCATTCCATTCAAGTCCATTCCATTCTATTCCATTCAAATCATTCCTTTCCATTCCATTAGAGTCCATTCCATTAAATTCCATCCCATTACATTCGAGTCCATTCCATTGTATTTCATTCGAATCGAGTCCATTAAATTCCATTCCATTTGAGTCCATTCCGCACCATTCCATTCCATTCCATTCGAGTTCATTCCTTTCCATTCCATTCGAGTCCATTCCATTCCACTCCATTCCATTCGTGACCATTCCATTACATTCGACTCCATTTTATTTTATTCCATTCAAGTGAATTCCAATCCATTCCATTGCATTCGAATCCATTCCACTCCATTCCTTTCGAGTCAATTGCATTCCATTCCATTCCACTCGAATGCATTCCATTGCATTCCAGTCTGGTCCATTTCACTCTATTCCATTCGAGTCCAATC
This sequence comes from Homo sapiens, assembly GCF_000001405.40. Lineage (NCBI taxonomy): Eukaryota > Metazoa > Chordata > Mammalia > Primates > Hominidae > Homo > Homo sapiens. The sequence continues at coordinate 129,234 of NW_021160000.1, read as the reverse complement.
CAATCCATTCCATTTGATTCGATTCCATTCCATTCGTTTCCATTCCATTCCATTTCATTCGAGTCCAGTCCATTCCATTCCATTCTATTCCATTCAAGTCCGTTCCATTCCAGGCATTCCATTCCTTCCATTCCACAATTCATTCCATTCCATTTCATTCCATTCATGTCCATTCTATTCCAATCTATTTGAGCCCATTCCTTTCCCTTTCATTAGAGTCCATTCCGTTAGAGTTCAATCTGGTAAATTCCGTTAGAGTTCAATCCGGTAAATTCCGTTCTATTGCATTAGACTCCATTCCATTCCACTCCATTTCGTTTGATTCCATTGCATTCCATTCGAGTCCATTCCATTATTTTCTATTGCATTCAAATCCTTTCCATTCTATTCCTTTTGAGTCCATTCCATTCCATTCCATTAGAGTCCATTCATTAAATTCCATTCGATTCCATTCGAGTCCATTACATTCCATTCCCTTCCATTCGTGTCCTTTCCATTGCATTCGAATCCATTCCATTCCACTCCATTCGAATCCATTCCATGCCATTGCATACCATTGGAATTGATTCAATTCCATTCCCTTCCATTCCATTCCATTCCATTCCGTTCCATTCCATTCCATTTAAATTTGGTCCATTCCATTCCATTCCTTTCCATTCCATTCGAATCCTTTCCATTCCATTCCATTCTATTCCATTCCGGTCCATTCCATTCGTGTCCATTCCCTTCCATTCCATTCGAGTCCATTCCATTCCATTCCATTCGAGTTCATTCCATTGCATTCCAATCCTTTCCATTCCTTTTGAGTACATTCAATTCAATTGCATTCCTCTCGAGTCCATTGCATTCCATTCCATTCCATTCCATTTGAGTCCATTCCATTCCATTCCGTTCCATTCGAGTCCTTTTCTTTCCATTACATTCCTTTCCATTCGATTCCATTGCATTCCATTCCATTCCATTCCATTCCATTTGAGTCCATTCAATTCCATTCCATTCCATTCGAGTCCATTTGACTCCATTCCAATTAAGTCCATTCCATTCCACTCCATTCCTTTCGAATCCATTCCATTCTATTCTATACGAGTCCATTCCATTCCATTCGAGTCCATTCAATTCCATTCCATTCCATTCGAGTCCATTCGACTCCATTCCAATTAAGTCCATTCCATTCCACTCCATTCCTTTCGAATCCATTCCATTCTATTCTATACGAGTCCATTGCATTCCATTCAATTCCATTCAATTTCATTCGCGTACATTCCATTCCATTCCATTCCATTCGAGTCCATTCCATTCCATTCGAGTCCATTGCATTCCATTCCATTCCATTCGACTCCATTCCATTTCATTCCATTCGTGTGCATTCCATTCCTTCCCATTCGAGTCCATTTAATTCCAATCCATTCCATTTGATTCCATTCCATTCTATTCCATTCGAATCCGTTCCTTTCCATTCCATTTGAGTCCATTCCATTTCATTCCATTCCATTCCATTCGAGCCCTTTCCATTCCATTTGAGTCCATTCCATTCCATTCCATTGCATTTGAAACAATTGAATTAAATTCGAGTCCATTCCATTGCATTCCATTCGAGTCCATTCCATTCCATTCAATTCCATTCGAGTCAATTCCATTCCGTTCCATTCTTGTCCATTCCATTGCATTTCATTCCATTCGATTCCTTTCTTTCCATTCCATTCGAGTACATTTTATTGTATTCCATTCCATTCCATTCCATTCCATTCGTGTCCATTCCATTCCATTGCATTCGAGTCCATTCCATTGCATTCCATTCCATTCTTTTCGTGTCCATTCAATTCCATTCCATTGCATTCGTGTCCATTCCATTCGAGTCCATTCCATTGCATTCCATTTCATTCGAGTCCATTCCATTCTATTCCATTCGAGTCCATTCCTATTCCATTCCATTACACTCCATTCCATTAAATTCCACTGAATTCCATTCTAGTCCATTCTATTCCATTGCATTTCATTCGTGTCCATTCCATTTCACTCGAGTCCATTCCATTAGATTCCTTTCTTTTCCATTCAAGTCCATTCCATTCCATTCCATTCCATTCCAGTCCATTCCATTCCATTCCATTCCATTCCATTAGTGTCCATTCCTTTCCATTGCATTCGATTCGATTACATTCCCTTTCATCACATTCAATTCCATTCCGTTCCATTGCATTCGAGTCCATTCCATTCCTTTTGAGTCCATTTCTTTCCATTACATTCCATTAGAGTCCATTTCATTGCATTCCATTTCATTTGCGTCCATTCTTTCCTATTCTATTCGAGTCAATTCCTTTCCATTCCATTTGATTCCTTTCCATTCCATTACATTACATTCCACTCGACTCAATTTCATTCCATTCTGTTCCTTTCATGTCCATTCCATTCCATTCCATTCCACTTGTGTCGATTCCATACCATTCAATTCCACTCGAACTCTTAACCTTCCATTTGATCCTATTCCATTCCAATCAAGTGCATTCCATTCCATTCCATCACTTTCCATTCCATTGCATTCCATTCCATTCCATTCCTTTCGAGTCCATTCAATTCCTTTCCTTTCCGTTCGAGTCCATTCCATTCAATTCCATTCTCTTCCATTCCATTCCATTCCATTCAGTTCAATTCGGTTCCATTCCATTCCATTCCATTCCGTTCCATTCCATTGCATTCGTGTCCAATCCATTTGATTCCATTACATTACAGTCGTGTCCTTTCCATTCCATTCCATTCGAGTCTGTGCCATTCCATTCCATTCAAGTCCATTCCTTTCTATTCCATTCTATTCCATTCGAGCCCATTCTACTACATTCGAGTCTGTTCCATTCCATTCCATTGTACTACATTAGATTCCATTCCATTCCATTCCATTCAAGTCCATTCCATTCCATTCCATTCGTTTCGAATCTATAACTTTCCATTCCTTTTGAGTCCAATCCATCCCATTAAATTCTATTCCATTCAAGCGCATTTAATTTCATTCCATTGCATTCCAGTCCATTTCATTCCATTTGATTCCATTCAATTCCATTCGGGTCCATTCCATTCCATTCGAATCCATTCCTTTCCTTTCCATTCCTTTCAAGTCGATTCCTTTCCATTCCATTCCACTCGAGTCCATTCCATTCCATTCTATTCCATTCCACTTCATTCGAGTCCATTCCATTCCATTCCATACCATTCCATTCCATTCCATACCATTCCATTCCATTCCATTCCATTCCATTCGAGTCCATTCCATTTCATTCCATTCCTTTCAGTTCCATTCAATTCCATTACTTTACATTCCTTTCAAAACCATAACATTCCATTCCATTTGAGTCCAATCTATTCCTTTCCATTCCATTCCCTTCCATGCGTGTACATTCCATTCCATTCCATTCCAATCCATTCCATTCCATTCCATTCCGGTCCATTCCTTTTCATTCTATTCGATTCCATTCCATTGGATCCATTCCATTACATTTTTGTCCATTCCTTTCCATTCCATTTCATTCGAGTCCATTCCTTTCTATTCCATTCCATTCGAGTCCATTCCATTCTATTATATTACATTTGACTGTAGTCTTTTCCATTACATTCAATTCCATTCGAGTCCAGTCCATTTTGTTTGGGTAAATTCCATTCCATTCCATTCGAGTCCACTCCATTCCATTCCATTCGAGTCCATTCCATTCTGTTCCATTCCATTCGAGTCCATTTCATTCCATTACATTCCATTCCATTAGAGTCCATTCCATACCATTACATTCCATTCTATTTGAGTCCATTCAATTCCATTCCATTCTATTAGATTCCATTCCACTCCATTCCATTTGAGTCCATTCCATTCCATTCCATTCCACTCCATTACATTCGAGTCCATTCCATTCCATTCCATTCCATTGCATTACAGTCCATTCAAGTCCAATCCTTCCTATTTCTTTCGAGTCAATTCCTTTCATTTCCATTTGAGTCCATTCCATTCCATTACATTCCATTCCACTCAAGTTGATTTCATTCCATTCCATTCCATTCGAGTCCATTCAATTCCTTTCCATTAGAGTCCATTCCATTCCGTTCCTTCCATTCCACTCGATTCAATTCCGTACTATTCCATTCCATTCGAGTTCTTTCCCTTCCATTGGAGCCCATTCCATTCCATTCCATTCTGTTCCTTTCCATTCCGTTCCATTCTAGTCCATTCCATTCCTTTCCTTTCCATTCTTATTCTTCCACTCCATTCCATTCATTTCGATCCCATTCAATTCAATTCCATTCCGTTCTAGTCCATTCCATTCCATTCTATTCCATTCCCTTCCATTCCATTACATTGCATCCCACTTGATTCGGGTCCATTCCATTCCATTCCTTTCGAGTCCATTCCATTCAATTACATTCCATTTGAATCCAGTCCATTCCATTCCATTACTTTCAAGTCCATTCAATTTGATTCCATTACAATACATTCGGGTTTATTCCGTTCCAATCTAGTCCATGCCTTTCCATTGAAGTCCATTCCTTTCCATTGCATTCTATTCCATTCGAGTCCATTCCTTTCCATTCCATTCCATTCGAGTCCATTCCATTCCATTCCATTCCATTGGAGTACATTCCATTCCATTCCATGCCATGCCATTCCATTTCATTCCTTTCCATTCTATTCCATTCCAGTACATTCCATTGCACTAGAGTTGTTTCCTTTCAATTCCATTCCATTCGAGTCCATTCCATTGTATTCGAGTCCATTCCACTGCATTCCATTCGAGTCCGTTCCAATCCAATCCATTTCTTTTGATTCCATTCCATTCTATTTCATTCCATTCCATTCCCTTCCATTCCATTCCATCCCATTCCATTCCGTTCCATTCTATTCCATTCCATTCCATTCGAGTCTATTCCATTCCATTGCATTCGAGTCCATTCCATTCCATTTCATTCCATTCGATGCGAATCCATTCAATTCCATTCCATTGCATTCGAGTCCATTCCATTCCATTCGATGCGAATCCATTCAATTCCATTCCATTCCATTCGAGTCCATTTCATTCCATTCCATTCTATTCGTGTCCATTACTTTCTGCTCCATTCGATTCAATTCCATTCCATGCCTTTGGAGTGCATTCCATTCCATGCCCTTCAATTCCACTCTAGTTGATTCCATTCCATTCGTTTCCATGGGAGTCCATTCCATTCGAGTCCATTGACTCCATTCAATTCGACTCCATTCTTTCCATTCCATTCCTTTCGAGTCCATTCAATTCCATTCCATTCCATTGTACTCCGATCCATTCCACACTAATCCACTCCATTCAATTCTATTCCATTCCATTCCATTCCTTTCCATTCCATTTCATTCCATTCCATTCCCTTCCATTCCGTTCCCTTCACTTCCCTTCCCTTCCCTTCCATTCCATTCTATTCCATTCTATTCCAATCTGTTTGAGTCATTTTCATTCCGTTCCTTTCCATTCCATTTGAGTCCATTTCATTCCATTTCTTTCCATTCAATTCGAGTCCCTTCCATTCCATTCCATTCCCTTCTCTTCTCTTCCATTCCATTCCAATCCGTTCGAGTCCATTTCATTCCGTTCCATTCCATTCCATTCCATTCCATTCCATTCCATTCCATTCCATTCAATTTGAGTCCATTTCATTCCATTAGTTTCCATTCAATTCGAGTCCATTTCATTCCATTACATTACATACCTTTCGAGTCCATTCCGTTCTAGTCCATTCCAGTCCATTCTTCTTCATTAAATTCCATTCCATTCCATTATATTCGAGTCCATTACATTGCATTCTATTCAATACCTTTCCATTCCATTCCATTCGAGTCCATTCCATTCCATTCGAGTCCATTCCATTCCATTCTATTCTATTTCATTCTAGTACATTCCATTCCATTCCATTCCATTCGAGTCTAATCCATTCCATTCCATTCTATTCCATTTCATTCGAGTACATTCCAGTCCATTCCATTCTATTTCATTCAAGTCCATTCCATTCCATTCCATTCTATTCCATTCAATACCAGTCCATTCCATTCCATTGCATTCGTGTCCATTGCATTAAATTCCTTTCGAGTCCATTCCATTCCATTCTATTCCATTCGACTCCCCTCCATTCCATTAGACTCCATTCCAATAGACACCAAACCATTAAATGGCATTCAATTCCATTCGAGTCTCTTCCATTCCATTCCATTCCAATCGAGTCCATTCCAAACCATTCCACTCCATTCCAATCCATTCTATTCCATTCTATTCCATTCAAGATCATTCCATTCCATTACATTCCAATCCATTCCCTTCCATTCAATTCCAATCTGGTCTACTACATTCCTTTGAATTCGAGTCCATTCCACTCACTGCGAGTCCATTTCACTCCGTTCCATTCGAGTCCATTCCATTCAATTCCAGTCATTCAATCCATTCCAATCCTTTCCGTTACTTTCGAGTCCATTCCATTCCATTAAATACCTTTCAATTCCATTCATTCCATTCGAATCTTTTCCATTCTATTGAACTCCATTCGGGGAAATTCCATTCCTTTACACTCGATTTCATTCCATTGCATTTAATTTCATTCGAGTCCATTTCATTCCATTCCATTCAACTTGAGTCGATTCCATTCCATTCCATTCCACTCGAGTCCATTCCATTCATTTCCATTCCATTCGAGTCCATTCCATTCCATTCAATTCCATTGCATTCCATTCCACTCAAGCCGTTCCCATTCCATTCCATTCCATTCCATTTGAGTTCATTCCATTCCATTCCGTTGCATTCAAATAAATTCCAATCCATTCCATTCCATTCGGGTTCATTCCATTCCATTCCGTTGCTTTCGAATCCATTCCATTCTATTCCATTCATGTCCATTCCATTCCATTCCATTCGAGTCCATTCCATTCCATTCGAGTAATTTCCATTTCATTCCATTCCATTCCATTCCTTTCCATTCCGTTCCATTTGTGTCCATTCCATTCCATTCAATTCGGGTCCATTCCATTCCATTCATGTCCATTCCATTCCATTTCATTCCATTCGAGTCCATTCCATTCGAGTAATTTCCATTTCATTCCATTCCATTCCATTCCTTTCCATTCCATTCCATTCGTGTCCATTCCATTCCATTCAATTCGGGTCCATTCCATTCCATTCCAGGCCATTCATGTCCCTTCCATTCCATTCGAGTCCATTCCATTCCATTCCATTCCATTCAAATTTATTAAATTGCATTCCATTTCATTCGAGTCCATTTGATTCCACTCCATTCCACTTGAGTCGATTTCATTCCACTCCATTCCATTAGAGTCCATTCCATTCAATTCTATTCGAGAACATTCCATTCGAGTCCATTCCTTTCCATTCTTTTCCATGTTAGTCTTTTGCACTCCATTCCATTAGAGTCCATTCCATTCCTTTCCATTCCATTTGAGTCCATTTCTTTCCATTCCATTCCGTTCCATTCGTGATCATTCCATTCCATTCCATTCTACTCCATTCCTTTCCTTTCCATTCCATTGAAGTCCATTCCATTCCACTGGAGTCAATTCCATTTGACTCAATTCCATTCCATTCCATTTCATTCCATTAAAGATTATTCCAACTCTTTCAATTTGAGTCCATTCAAGTCCACTCAATTCCAATCGAGTCCATTCTATTACAATCCATTCGAGTCCATTCCAATGCATTCAATTCCATTCGTGTCCAGTCCATTCCATTCGAGTCCATTCCATTCCATTCAATTAGAGTCAATTCTATTCCATTCCATTCCATTTGAGTACATTCAATTCCATTCCATTCCACTCGAATCCATTCCATTCCATTCCATTCGAGTCCATTCCATTCCATTCCATTCCATTTGAGTACATTCAATTCCATTTCTTTCCACTGAAATCCATTACATTCCATTCCAGTCCAGTCCATTCGATTTGAGTACATTCAATTCCATTCCTTTCCACTCAAATCCATTCCATCCCATTTCATTCTATTCGATTCCATTCCATTCCATTCGTGTCCATTTCATTCCATTCGACTACATTCCATTACATTACATTCGAGTCCATTCCACTCCATTCCATTCTATTCCATTTACGTCCATTCCATTCCATTCGAGTCCATTCCATTTCATTCCACTCCATTCCATTCCGTTCCATTCCATGCCATTCGTTTCCCTTCCATTCCATTCAAGTCCTTTTCATTCCATTCAAATCCATTCGAGTCCATTCAATTGCATTCCATTTCATTCGAGTCCATTCCATTTCACTCCATTCCACTCGAGTCAATTCCACTACACTCCATTCCATTCTAGTCCATTCCATTCCATTCGTGTCCATTCCATTCCATTCTATTCAAGTTCATTCCATTCGAGTCCATTCCTTTCCATTCAATTCGAGTCCATGTCCTTTCCTTTCTTTTCCATTTCAGTCTTTTCATTCCATTCCATATGTGTCCATTCCATTCCTTTCCATTCCATTTGAGTCCATTTCTTTCCATTTCATTCCATTCCTTTTGTGATAATTCCATTCCATTCCATTCTAGTCCATTCCTTTCCTTTCCATTCCATTCAAATCCATTCTAGTCCATGCCTTTCCTTTCCATTCCATTCAATTCCATTCCATTCCACTCGAGTCAATTCCATTCAAGTCAATTCCATTCCATTCCATTTGAGTCCATTCCATTCCAATCCATTCCTTTCCATTCCTTTCCATTCAATTCCATTGGAGTGAATTCCATTCCATTTCATTTGAGTCCATTCTATTGCATTCCATTCTATTCCTTTCGAGACCATTCAATTCCACTGCATTCCATTCGAGGCCATTCCATTTCATTCCATTGCAGTCCTTTCCATTGCATTCCATTAAATTCAAGTCCACTCCTTTCTATTCCATTCGAGTCCATTCTTTGCATTCCATGAGATTCCTTTCGATTAGAGTCCGTTCCATTAAATTCCATTCCATTCCATTCGAGACCATTCCATTCCATTTAAGGGAACTGCTAGGGTTTAGATATTTGACCACTCCAAACTCATGTTGAAATGTGATCCCCATTGTTGGAGGGGGGGCCTAATGGGAGGTGTTTTGGTCCTGAGTGTGGACCTCTCACGAATGTCTTGGTGCCATCCAAGTGAGTTCTTGCTGGCTCTTTTTTTTCTTTTTGAGATGTAGTTTCACTCTTGCTGCCCAGGTTGGAGTGTAGTGGTGCGATCTTGGCTCACTGCAACCTCCACCTCACGGGTTCAACCCATTCTCCTGTGTCAGCCTCCAGAGTAGCTGGGATTACAGGTGCCCACCACTATGCCCAGCTAATTTTTGGTATTTTTAGTAGAGACGGGGTTTCACCATGTTGGCCAGGCTGGTCTCAAACTCCTGACCTCAGGTGATCCGCCTGCCTCGGCCTCCCAAAGTGCTGGGATTACAGGCATGAGCCACCGTGCCCACCTAGTTCTAGCTCTCTTAATTCCCACAAGAGCTGGTTGTTAACAAGAGCCTGGCACAAAACCCTCTCTCTCGCCATGTGATCTCTGCACATGCCAGCTTCCCTTCCCCTTCTGCCATGAGTGGAAACAGCCTAAAGCCCTCACCAGAAGCAAATGGTGGCACCATGCTTCTTGCACGCCTTCAGAACTGTGAACCAAATAAACCTCTCTTCTTTAAAATTACTCAGCCTCTGGTATTCCTTTATAACAACATACACACACACACACACACACACACAAGCAAAAGCAGACTAAAACAGGAACTAATTAGAAATGGTGATGCACCGAGGGATTGGCACCGAGGCTCCCCAACAGGAACTGAGGCCATGGATAGAAGGACACATTCATGTTATTTTTTTCTAATGGTTAAGTAATTATTTGCTCTTACTCTCAAAATTTCTGCCAAGGCCTCCCATGGACCAAACTCAACTAGAATCTAGGAAGCAGATAACCTGAGTGTTGCATTCAGCAGAAGTCAGCTTCCTAGGGAATCTTGCAGGAAGGGTGAAGGTAGAGAATCTTGTGGGGAAGCAAGCAAATGCCCATCACATGCACTTTCCTCCAACAGAACGACTCAGATGCTATAAAACTTGCTAACTCAGTCTCAGGGTCTGATCACAGTAACATACAATCCAGGTTTTAATCATCAGAAATCACAGTCCTATTGTCTTCTGCACAGACCCAAACACACTTGGAGGTCATGTTCAATATGAATACCTCACAGAGAAGGAAATTTACACACGAGAAGTACATCTGCAGAAAGCCAGCTGGCATGTCAACCATTCAAAAACTCAGGGTGTTCGGGATAAAGAAGACTCAGGAAGACAAGTATGAAGCATAATCTGTGACATTCCATGCGGCAGACGTTAGACACATACAAGAGAGTTGTTGGAAAGCGGAATTTATCTTCATATAAACAACACTGAGCTAAATCTCAATATTTCAGATCTCTAGAACTATCCATCAGTGAAATGGATTGCAAATAGAAAGAGTAATACCATGTCACTTAAGAATACAATCATGGACAAGGCTGCCACCTGCTGTTGGGGGCCACTGCAGAATAAATTCCAGAACACTGGACTGGAGAGCACCACACTTTCCTTACTGCTCTAAGTTTCTGACTCAGTGACCTGATTCAGTACCATATACACAAAGACCCACTTACACAAATGACTGTTCTTCACACTAGGCCCATGGAGACAGGGATAAAATTCTGAATTTGCTCAGATACCTTCTCCGCTACTGACATCTAGGCATTACACAATTCATTTCTTCATACTTAACCTTTGAAGTTTGCTACTTCTCAGAGAGACTAATGAGTAGTGAGCAAATATCCTGAAGCTGAGAATGCTTCTACCTCCTCTCAAAACAACAGAATATTCATCAAAACACAGCAGTTCTGCACTTAACTTTAGGCCTTTTCTAACACCTCGTTTCTTGGCAGTAACTGTGGCCAGAATAGCTCTTTCCACAGAGAAAGGACCTTTTGAAAGGATAGGGTCTCTAGATAGAAAAGCAAATGCCTCATTCCAGAAGGTCTTCAAGAAGAAAATGTTGTGGTGATAACAAACATAACTGATTATAATCTATTCTGTGAAAAAAGCTTATGAAACAGTAGATGTGTGTATCTAGTACATAAGAGCTGAATGTCAATATATATATATATATATAGATATATACACACACTCAAATAAATAATAGTTATCTCTAACTAGAGAAATTCTAGTTGCCTTATATTTTCTTCTTTTTCCTTACTATATTTTCTACAATAAACATGTGTTTTTAACAAGAAAAGTCTTTTCTGGTGTGCTTTTTAATTTTCTTTGTTTAAGTGAGAGTGAGACTACATAACTACATGGCTAGGTAGACTTTTAGAAAACTTGGCTGCTCTAGAAAATTGACATATCCTGATTTCTTCCATAGCTTGGATCTTGACCTAGAGGGAAATATAAAAATGTTGACTTGAACCTGAGGGGCGCCATTTTCACTGCTGAAGTAGTTTCATGGATCATGAATTGGAGAAATGACTTCAGCAACACGGATGTTAAAAACAGAAAGCACAATTGACCCACAACAGATGATGGAGAACAAAGAGCAAGCTGGGAAAAGCAGTGGCCTTTAATACAGAAAAGAAGAAGTATAGCCACAATAAATATTAGGCAGACAGCAGTTCAGCAGTTTATACTATTAAGCTGTTGTTTAGGGGAATGGTAAACCGACATGACCCTTGAGGTAGGTATATATAGGTAAATTCTATGTGTCCCTTGAAATAGGTGTATGACACAACTTCTGGCATCTACATGGATTTGGTCACTCTAAAGTAGCCATGAGGCTTAAGATAGTTCAGCTGTTTGGGGATAAGCTAAATCATTTGCAGTTGTCTTTCTGCAATTTGCATATCCTACAGCTATCATTGTCATTACTGAATGGCACAGAGAAAAATTCTGGTCTAAAGTGGTTCTCAAACCTGGTTGCTGGAGGGCCACCCTCAGTGATGATGATTTAATCTGTAGAAGAGTAGAACATTGATAGTTTTTATATATCTCCAGGTAATTTTAATATATAACTGGGGTGAGAATCATTGACCTAATTGTAAGAGGATAATATTCAAGAAATGTGGAGATAAATAATTTTCTTCTTGACATTAAAAAAATCTAATAAAAAGTTTTATCTTTTGCCCTAACTCAGGGTCATCAGCCTTCAAACTTCAGTTTCTGTGTGTTCACAGGTGCTGCAAACACATGCATCACTACTAATATCCCACTTCAGTGCTATTGCTGCTCCCAAAACTCCAGGTATTTTTAACCTTATAAACCTCCAGAATAATGAGACCACTGGGTTCAGTAAATTGCTTTGTTTTGAAGCAGTGTTAGACAAAGTGGGAGACTAGAAGATAAATCTGTCAATGACATGTCCTTTAAGACTACTTAGATTTAGTTGAATTTGTGGATCATTCCTTACTTGAGCAAATGGTAAATTAACTCTCTCTTTTCTCTCTCTCTCTAGCTGGCACACTTTTTCCAGTAGCCATTCTACTTGGTATGCTTACTTATCAGCTGTCCTCCAGGGGCCTCACATTAGATGCTTCTCTTGACTAACCAAACATGACACACAGCTGAAGTCAGAAAAACCAGATTGATAATTTCACTCAAAGTATTTTCCTTCATTCTAACAATTTACGGGAGTACACAATTATGACTATTTTTAGCCATAGGAACTCATAGAAAGACCAACTTCATTAGACCCACAAAATCAAATTGTGTAACAGTATATGTAGTATGTGTAGGAATAAAAAGTATTTCTCAAATATGCAGTACTGGATTTTGCAAAAGCACCTTACACTTAGCTATAAAGGAGTGGAAAACACAAAGATGAGTAACTGCACCTTTCAAAAGACTAGAGCTATACCAATAATACAAATGTGTAAACAAATAATGATGAGATGACAAAGGCTGAGTGTTTTCTATTTGGAAGCTATGTTGTTGAATTATTTATGTACATAATTTCGTGCAATCTTCATGTTATAGGGGTGTTCTAATCCACTGTGACTCTGTCCTTAAATAAAAGGGAGATTTGGACATAGAGACAGGCACACGGGGAGGATGCCATATGAGAATTGACACTGTGCTGTCACAAGCCAAGGAACTACTGGAAGGAGAGAAAGAGGACTGGAACAGTTCATTCTTTAGCATCTTTTCAGGCAGCCCAGCCCTGCCAGCTTCTTGATCTGGACTTCTCACCTCTAGAATTGTGAGGCAATAAATTTCTGTTGCTTAAGTTACCCAGTTTGTGGTACTTTATTACAGGAGCCCTAGGAAAATAATTCATTATATAATCTGCTAAGGTAGATATGATCATTGTCTCCAATTTCCATATGAAGAAACTATGCCTCAGGCATTGTGTCAATTGTCCAAAATCATACATTCCTGACTCACTTCAACGAATTCTTCATTCAGCAAAATTTTTAAGGTACCTTAAAAAATTATGTTAACTCTTAGGTCCTTGCTTTAAAGCTTTAATGGGCTTTTCCTTTGCAAAGAATAAAATCCTAATACTTAAGCATAGCTCTCTTTCCTGGCTATGTTTCTGACATCCTCTTGTACCATCCTCCTCCTTAATCATTCTGGGGTTACATCTTAAGTCTTTTCCCCTTGCCATTCCCACTTCTTGGAATACTTTCCCATCAACTCTTCAAAGAACTGGCTTCTTTAAGTATTTGGTCTCAGTTCAAATGTCACTTCCCTGTAAAAGCTTCCTGGCCATCAAGCCTTCTTTACACACTCTATTTTATTTTTTCATGGTTCCTATAACAACCTAATATATTCTCAATTGATTAACTGTTTTGCTGACTACTGCCTTCCATAAGAATGGAAAGAAAATGTGGCCAGGTGCAGCGGCTCACACCTGTAATCCCACCACTTCAGGAGGCTGAGGCAACATGGCAAAACCTTCTCTTCAAAAAATTTTTTAAAAGTTAGCTGGATGTTGTGGAGGCAAGAGGATCACTTGAGGAACACTTGAGTCCATGAGTTCAAGGCTGCAGTGAGTCATGTTTGCACCACTGCACTCTAGCCTAGGTGACAGAGCTAGTCCCTATCAAAAAAAAAAAAAAAGAATGGAGAGAATGCTACATGAGAGAAAGGATCTTATTTATCATGTTCACCTCCCAAGAGGTGAACATATCCCCCAAAGCCTGATAGAGAGAAGATGCTCATTAATATTTAATGCATGACCATGTGCAGACTTGGGAGGAAAAATATGCCTCAGCCTATCAAAATTGGATCCTTAATAAACAAGGATGCTTCTCCATCATTTCCCCACAATACCAAACAAATGTGGCTCACTGTGGATGTTTAAGCAAATGCATTGTTTTTCCAGTTATATATCTGGTAGAGATGAGGTCATTGATAGGAATGGGAAGACGATCTCCTTTTATTTTGATGACCCAGCATGGCTGAACACTCAGTGACTACCACTGCACTTTGTTGTACTTTCAGCATTAGAGATGCCAGCCCTGTAGGATATAAAACAGGGACATCTAGTCCTCAATTATATTCAGAATTACTCAAGTCTTAGAAGCACCACTTGTCTTTTTTCAAGGGAGAGAAATGCTCAAGTGATGGGCTGAAGTGAAGGGAGGGAGTCACTCACTTAAACGGTTCCCTTAGGCTGTGTGGATGCAAACAGCATTAGACAATGACGCTGACAGTGGGAAATGCACTGGAGATGATGATTGGCAAAGCCCTCCTTTTCTCCCCATCCACTTTAGATACTGACAGCAAAGGGTTTGTCACAATGACAACTATACACTCCCAATATCACAGAAGAAGGAGGAATAAAAGGGTATATTATGAGTGACTGAAGTTTAGAATAAATCAATAAATATTATGTCCCTCATCCATAGAAACCACAAAGGTCTAGTAATGTTAAGGATATAACAAGAAAATAATATGAATATTTGCTTCCCCTTCCTAGTGTAATAGAGTAAGTTACAAATGGCTTCAGGAAGGGGAAAGAGGAAGAAGAGTGGATGAGATACGTAAGAGTGCCTGAGGGCTAATTTTATGAAAGCTTTGGGAAGTTTTAAGAAAAAGAAAAGCTATTTTTCAAGGTACATGTGTGTATGCGTGTGTGTGTGTGTGTGTGTGTGTGTGTGTGTGTGTGAAAGACAGAAGAAAGAGGGAGACCTAGGAAGACTATGAGACACTAAGAGAAAAATTAAGGTAAAAAAGACACACACTTAGAAAAACACACATAGGGAGGAGGGAGGAGGTTAAGACATTTTACTATGTGCTGTGAATGGAAACTACAAACCATTTTTCATATATGCAATATATATACATATATACACACATATACATATGTATTTAAAGATTTAAATTACATTTTCTCTTTTTTTAGAGATGTGGTTTCACTATGTCACTCTGCCCAGGCTGCAGTACAGTGGTTGTTCACCGTCATGATCATAGCACATTATAGCCTTGAACTCCTGGGCTCAAGCAATCCTCCTGTATTAGTCTCCCCAGTAGTTGGGATTACTAGCATATGCCACCATGTCCACCCTTATGGATTTTAAAGTGAAAAACCATACTAAGAATGAGGCACCTCAACTTAATAATAAAAACATTTCGAATGTAAAGAAATTTACAAAAGAAAAACAATCAATCCCATTAAAATTGGGCAAAGGGAATGAACAGACACTTTTCAAAAGAATACATGCATGCAGCCAACAAACATACAAAAAAAAATTCAACACCACTGATCATTAGAGAAATGCAAATCAAAACCATAATGAGATACCATCTCACACCAGTCAGAATGGCTATCATTAAAAAGTCAAAAAATAACAGATGCTAGTGAGGCTATGGAGAAAAGGGAATGCTTATACACTGTTGGTGGGTGTGCAAATCAGTTCAATCATTGTGCAAAGAATAGTGATTCCTCAAAGAGCTAAAAGCAGAGCTACCATTCGACCCAGTAATCCCACTACTGGGTATATACCCAGATGAATATAAACCATTCTACCATAAAGACACATGCATACAAATGTTCATTGCAGCACTGTTCACAATAGCAAAAGTATAGGATCAACCTAAATGCCCATCAATGACAGATTGGATAAAGAAAATGTGGTACATATACACCATGGAATACTATGCCGCCATTAAAAAATGATATCATGTCTTTTGCTGGAATATGGATGGACCTTCTATTATCCTTAGCAAACTAATGCAGGAACAGAAAACCAAATACAGCATACTCTCAGTTATAAGTGGGAGGTAAATGATGAGAACTAATGAACACAAAGAATAAAACAGACACTGGGGTCTACTTGAGGGTGGAGGGTGAGAAAAGGAAGAGAAGCAGAAAAGATAACTATTGGGTACTAGGTTTAATACCTGGGTGATGAAATAATCTGTACAATAACCCCCTGTGACACCAGTTTACCTATGTAACAAATGCCCCTAAACTTAAAATAAAAGTTAAAAAAAAAAGAAAATTAAAATCATCTTATCATCTACCTGGTAATATGAAAAACACATATCTTTCATTCATTCCTTTCAACTGATGAGGAAACTGAGGCATCGGGAGTTAGTAAAAGTCCACATTGAGATATGAAACCCACCACTGGCTGGAGGCAGTGGCTCACACCTGTAATCCCAGCACTTTGGGAGGCCGATGCTGGTGGATCACCTAAGGTCAGGAGTTCGGGACCAGGCTGGCCAACATGGTGAAACCCCCATCTCTACTAAAAATACAAAAATTAGCTGAGTGTGGTGGCAGGCACCTGTAATACCAGCTACTAGGGAGGCTGAGGCAGGAGAATCACTTGAACCCAGGAGGTGGAGTTTACAGTGAGCCAAAATCACGCCATTGCACTCCAGCCTGGGCAACAAGAGCAAGACTCTGTCGGGGAAAAAAAAAAAAAAAAACCACCACCATCATTTTGCAAGTGTTACCACTATTGTGTGTTAATATTGTAGAGGTATTCCTAATTATGATTTCTTTGTATTCCTAATTGTAAAAGCTTTGTATTTGAAAAATTATTGATTCATACTCTATATGTTATTATTTTGTATGCGATGACAACAGAATATATTATCATGCTCCTTTTGTGAATCTCATTCATAATATAAAGTATAAATTTGTGATTTTGCTTTAATTTGAAATATTAATTTCAAATATGTTATCACAATTTGATACAAACTATTGACAATAAATCTGTGGATTAAGTAATGTCTTAGTAGGTATTGGGAAAATTTGAAACTAGTAACATGGAGGACTATTGTCATTGTTTATTTCAAAGCCAGTTAAAATTCTGCAAAGCAGTGTAAATAAAAATAATTTCAAGAAATTTATAAAATACCGAGATTATGGTGTAAAAACAATCTCTAGATTCTTTGTTTAAGAAATTCTGCCAGTTTGTAATATATGCTTCATTCAAAGTAGCTAAGGGCTGTACCTGGCTAATGGTAGGCACCTAATATTTGTTGAAAAAGAATACAGAGTAGCTGGGACCTCCTGAGTAGCTGGGACAACACACATTTAACCTGTATTTATAAAATTACTGTTTAGAGAAAAACATTTGATGGAATCATGCTTTTACTTTCTGCTTATGACTCAATTGTTTGTACTGACATTAACATCCCAAATCCTTAGCATGGCCTACAAGGCCCTGAGCAATGTGGCACCTGCTGAAGCCTGCTGCCTCATTTAATAACTTTTTGTCTCCTTCCCAGATCCAGCCACTCTAACATTTTTTAATTCCTGGACCAAGACAAGCTCTTCCCAGAACCTGACCTTTGTACCTGTTCTTTATTCCTGGAGTATTTTTCCCCTGACAAATTACTTATCATCTATCATAATTCAGGTTGAATGGCACTAACTCAGGGAAGGCTTCCCTAACTGCCTCCCTTCTCCAACCAAATTAGGAACAATTATATGGCCACATAGTATCGAATCAAGTTTATAATTTTAAAATAATTGGGAGATTTTGTTGTTTAACACTTGTTTTCACTATAAGACTGTAATTACATACAAGTAAGAACCATGCCTGTTTGTTCACTCCTGCCACAGTCAGAATAGTGCCTGGAATATGCAGTAAGGGCTGAACAAACACTAAATAAATGAACAAATGAATAAATGGATATTGTTTCATTTTTAGAACAGAGTACTAAATGGATCATGAACACTATCTGGTATGTCACGTAGGTAATTTACAACGGATACAATTTCAGCTCAGATTTACCTTTTCCTGGATACAGGTCTTGATAGGTCTCTTGATATCATTTCACTTCAGATTCTTCTTTAGAAAACTTGGACAATAGCATTTGCTGTCTTGTCCAAATTGTTACTAAGAATCAAGAGAGATATCTGACATGAAATGACATTGGAAAACATTAAACACGATTGAAATAATGCTAGCCAATATGGTTATTATTAGAAACCAATTACATTTTCAACTTAAAAATAGTAATACTTATTGCAGACTCAAATGTGCTTATTCTAAAACAAGTAAATGTTTGCCTATGGTCTGAGATTCTACTCCACGGAGTTCATTCTAATCCACATTCAACACTATCATGTACCAGTAGGCCTCATAACCCACCTAGCCCTGTGATTTTTCAGGTTCACTCTTCTAAACTTGTGAATTAAATATTTATTTTCTTCGTTCAGAAGAGGGAAAAAACTCTTGTAATTGTTGCCCATTTCAGGAGAAATCTTGCATATGAAAACAAGAGATAAATATACACAACTGAGGGCTGTGGTTTAAACAAAATCTTGAGAATGTTTTTTGACCTTATACATTTGTGCTTTAGTATAACAAAATGATATAGACAAAGGTAACTTTTAATAGAACCAGTCACTAAATTAAAAAAAATGAAAAATTCTTCTGCTTAGCTAAGCAACAGAGAAGGTAAAATACTAATTCAATTCATCAATTTAAGCAATACTCATTAAGAGCCAAGTATGTGCTTACTGAATAAGCTGCTAAGGTTTGGTGGTTACAGAGTGTGCGGTGAAATGATATCTACATCACAGTCCAACATTCACAGAGTTTAGAAGCCTACCAAGAATCAAGACAGACACAAATACCTAACATAGACATTTGTATGTGATAAGAGAGCCAGAGTACAATTTAGGAGAAGAAATTGTATGGAAGGAAGGTTTACTTCCATTAGACCAGAAAAGACGGCACATTTGAAGGCCTGAATAAGAAATATTCTGGATAAGATATTGTGGCTGCTACCAGAATGGCTCTTGATGATCTCTACCTCTTGGTATTTATACCCTTATATAAGTATAAGCTGGTCCTATAGTATAAGCTGGTCCCAGGTACTTGTTTCTATTGAATAGAATAGAACAAAAGTAATGAGATGCCACTTCTGAGATTAGATTATAAGATACTGTGAATTTCATCTTGTGCCCTCTCCCTCTCTCTCTTTCTCTTGCCCTCTCATTTGAATGAAGCCAACTGGCATGCTGTCAGTGGCCCAGTGTAAGTCCTGTTAGAAGAAATTGATGATTGCTTGTAGCCAACCCTAAGTGAAGAACTGAGGTCCTCAGTCCTACAAATGGAGAGAAACTGAATCTAGCTAAGAACCATGTGAGTGAGCTGGGAAGAAGATCCACCCTCAGTCAAAATTTAAGATGACCATAGCATCAGCAGACATATTGAGACACATTGAAAGTAAGAGAGCAGGAGGAAACAAAACCAGGGTCATACAAAGAACACAACTGATTTTGAGATTCTCACTTAAGTATTACACCTTCAGTGAGCACGTGTACTAGAAATTAAAAAAATAAATAAAATAAACTTGAAAAGAGAGCTAGCAAATAAATTTACCTATGGTCTCAGCTCTGAGTGGAGAGAGAAAATGTTCCCTGTAGAGTTTATAGCCAGAATCCAGCTCTCAAACAGGTTTCAGCCTGAACTCACACAATCTGTGTGGCTTCCAAATTTGCAAGCTGAGAATTTAATTCAAAGTGGTCTCAGGTTGATAGCAGTCCAAAATGCCAGGTAGGAAAAAAAATCCTCTCTGGACAAATAAATCATCAAAGCAAGCTCATAAGAGCAGGTTTCAAAGGTCATGAGCTTCTAACACACACACACAAAAATCACACACACAAAATGGGGGCAGCAGCAACATGGGTAGCATATTCAAATTTGAAAAGACTTCAAATATTTGTATTATTAGATGTAGATTATGAAACACATATTTTAATGTGGTTAATTTTTTTAAGGAATCAAAACTATAAGTAAAGACCAAGAAAATTGTGCTGGATGGCCACTTCCACCATGGCTCCCCTCCTATTTAAGTCTGGGTACTGTGTCACCCGAAGTCTTCAGGCACATTGTTCCAGGTTTGGGTTTGCCTATGAAGGAAACTCATGAGAGCTGGAAGTGAGGAGTGAAGAGGAGGTCTTCACATAAAGCAGGCTTAAGGATTAGACACAGCAGGTTTGACAGATGTGATGGCTTGCAGAATTCTTTATGAGCTCCCACTGTCCATCTGGATAAGATTTACAGACCTTTCAGAAATTCCTATAAGCTTGGGTTCTGTGCCCACACTCTAGACTGTCAGACTAAGATCTCTGATATAAAGCAGACCTCTTCTGATTTTGTCTAGCTGCTTTTCTAATATCTATTCACCAAGCTCTTCCAATAATAACATAAGGCCCTAATTAATATTAAACTTTTATCATTATAATACATAGGATGTCTTCTGTTTTCCTGATCAAATTCTGACTATTATTAAAATATAAAGAATTGTCCAGAAATATATAAAAAAAGAATCACACATTGATCTTCTTTAAATGAAAATATAACAATTGTATGGACTAGGATGATTACAGTTGTTCAGTTCTGACTGTTATTTGGAGAAAAAAGCAATAAGAAGCCTCAGCAACTTAACAGAAGGAGCTGCCATTTACTAGGAGAAAAAGATTGTGGATGAGAGTGTAGCAAAGGTCAGAATTCTGTGAAGCTTGAGATGTCAATTATAATGAATTATCTTTTATACTCACTACAATTTCCTAACAATTTTGGGGTTTATGTTTTTGAAAGAGATATACCTTTAATTTTCTTTCTTTGTACTATTGTTAGGTAACTTTAATGTGCAGATTATACTACAGTGAAAGTTGCCAATGACAAGGCAAAGTCACTTACATCAGACCCAAAGCAAAGTGGAGCCGGGTCATGAAAAAGGGGATCTTGTGTGTCCACAATAAGCACTATCACAAGGACTTTCTATAAACTCACATTCTGTTTGTCCAGCTCATCCTGTAGGTGTCTTTATAATAGGACCTATCATAAAAAATTCCTCAAGACTGCAGCATTTCAGATAAGCCACCCTCACAAGAACACTTGCCTAGCAATGGCTGTTTCTGCCAGTAAGTTAACACCAGCTCCTGCATCAGGCCCTGTGACCAATGATGTTTGTTTCAAAACAGCTTGCATAGACTTCTTTTTGTCTTTAAATATTTTCCTTACCTCAACCTCTTGGGATGCACCTATGATTGATCATAGCACAAATATCTCAGATTATAATCCTTGTTTATTTCCAAATAAATGTATTTCTTTGGAGATCCTCTTTTTCTGTTATTATACATTGACATTGTTATCATGAAATTAGTTGGGTGATGTGTCTTATTTTCTTTTCTCCAGAAGAATTTCTGTAACAGTGCAATTAAACGTTCTTTGCATGTTTGCTAGAACTCACCTGTAAAATTGTCTGAGCAACCAAAGCCTGGTTTTTGTGTTTAGTTTTTCTTTTGTGATTGGGGAGGGGGGGTTATTGTACTGATTCAAGGTGTGAAGGTAACATCATTTTGATTTTATACATCTTCTTCAGTCCATTTAAGCATGTTACATAGCGTTGTTTGTTCTTTTCATGATATTCTTTACAGTAGCCTCCTAAATGTTCCCTCTGCTTCTGCCATGAGCCCCTACAATCTATTTCAACTCAGAAGCTATAGAGTTTGTTTAAAACATGTAACATATTATGCCACCTTTCTTACTGTAAAACATCCCATGGTTTCTCATAGTATTTATAGTAAAAGTGAAATCTTTATGATGGCTTGAGAAACTTTTCCCATTAGATGCCCAAATGCTGGTCTGGTCTGATCTTCTCATCTTCCCTTGGGTGATTCTGTGGCAGTCACACTAGCCTCCTTGCTGCTCCACAAAAACTCCAGCATGATCCTACTTCAGGATATTTGCCATTGTTACTGCATCTGCCTGGAACCTTTTCTCCCATATAAACATAGAGATTGCTCTTGCCTGTCCTTCAAGTCTATTCTTAAATGTCCCATTCTCTGTGAAGCTTTCCTGCCCACCCTATTTAAATTACAGACTTCACTCCCAATTCCCCATCTACTTTAAGAGTCTTCATTTATCATTCCTTGACAAACTGTAAATATACATGTTCACTTTTTTATCGTCTGTCTCCAAATACTGGAATGTTAAGTTCTGTAATGTCAGATATTTCTGTTTGGTTCACTGGTGTATTCTTAAGGCATGTTACATACTAGGTATACTCAATGAATATTTGTTGAATAAATATCACATTGGGCTTATTCCAGAAATTCAAGCTTGTTTCAATAGTTAGAGCAATCTACAAATGTAATTCATTACATTAACTAATTAAAGGAGCTAAATCACATCACCACCACAATAATGCAGAAAAACACATTTGATACAACTCAATATTCATGCATGCCTAACAAACATCTCATGATACTAGGAAAAAAGGAAGGGATATATTATTTTCATGTATAAAACACTAACCATTGTAGCATGGCAATATACTCAAAATTCAATGAAATTCCTATCAAAATCTTAGCACTCCTCTTAGTCCTCAACAAAGCATTTCTAAAATGTGTATAGAAGACCAAAGGGCCAAAAGAGTCAACTTCTGAAGAAGTGGAAAAAGAAAGTTGAGGAAATCTTAAAACATGTTATTGAGCTTAAAGTTGCAAAAATAAACTCATGTACCATAATTCATGAGTAGAAAAATAGACTAGTGGAATAACATAAAAATAAAAACAATGCTTACATAAAATGTTGTAACTGATTTGGATGTCATTAGAAATCAGTAAGTAAAGAGATGGACAATGTAATGAAAGATGCTAGGCAAATAATGTGGTAGGGAGTATAATGGCCCTCAAAGATCCCCATGCCTAACCCTGGAACCTGTGAATATGTTACACTGAATGCAATAAAGGCTTATCAGATGTGATTAAGAATGCAAACCAAGATGGAGAGATCTTCCTGGGTTATCCAGATGGGCCCAGTCTAATCACATGAGTTCTTAAAAATGGAGAACCTTTCTTAGCTGAGTCCAGAGAGAGATGTGACAATGAAAGAATGGTCAGAGAAATGTGACATTCCCAGCTTTAAAAAGAGAGAGGAGAGGCAACGAGAAAAGGAATGCTGATGTTCTCTAGAAGATAGAAAAGGCCAGGGTATGGATTCTACCCTAGCCGCCATAAAGAAACATGCCTGTCGACAACTTGATTTTAGTTCACTAAAATTCATGCCTGCTTTCTGACTTGTGTACACTGTAAGATGATAAGTTTGTGTTATTTTAGGTCACTTAGTTTGTAGAAATTTGTTACAGCAGTAATAGAACAAGTGGTTATCCATATGAGGCAAATTAGATTGGATACCTATCTCCAATAGAAATCAATTCAAGGTGAATTCCAGGAAAATACTTAAAACATTTAGATTAAAAATAAATGAGAATTTTTGTTACTTTTGGTAGGTCATAGAACCAAGAAAAACAAACATTAAGGAGGAAAAATGAACATATGACTACATCAAAATATAAAGCTTCTCTATTTGGATGATATCATAAGGTGACAAATCATAAACTGTAATACTTGCAACATATATATGAGTGAATAAATATACATTTAGAATATATATGAACTCCCAAAAATCAACAGGAAAAATAAGACATAGAACAAGCAAAATGCATAAACAAAAGAAGGCAAAACAAAAATAATGACTCATAATTATATGAAAAGAAGCTCATCTTCATAGATGAGCAGATAAATGCAAATTAAAACCACCCTGAGATGCTTTTTACATCCATGAGCCTGATAAAAGTTAGAGTCTAAAAGTAATAATTAACAAAGATGGGAAGTAACAGAAAATCTTGTCCATTACTGGTTAAAGTATAAACTGATACAGCTACTTTATAGAATATTACATTATAGAATAAAGTTGTGAGTATGTATATGCAGTGACTCAGCATCTTCATTGCTAGTATGTACTCAAGAGAAACTTACAGGAGTGGACTAGGAAGTAAATACAAAATGATTACAACATTGTTTGTTATATCAAAAAATAAAAAAGACACCCAATTTTCCAGCAAAAAAAAATAAGTAAAAATAAATCCTGGTGTATTCTAACAATGGAATAATATATAGCCATTAAAATAAATCAACTATTACTGTACATATGAATGTAAGTATCAGCAAAACATATTGTTTAGTGAAAAAGTAAGAAGCTGAAGAAGAATATATACAATATGGTTACACTTATATGAAGTCCAAAAGCTTGCAAAATAAAGAAATGTATTTAGAAATAGATTCACATGTGAGAAAACTAGAAGAAAATTAATGAAAGGATAAAAGGGATAGCAGTAATTCTGAGTAGTTGAGGGGATTTCAATTGGAAAAAAATAGTATCATATTCTTTAAGTCAGGTAGTGGGTATTAGCATTTGTTTTACCATCGTTCTTTATTCTTATAGCTACATTATATATTTTCTATGTATTTAATGTATTTTTTGCATAATTAAATATTATGCAATAAAAATGAGAAAACAAAAAAGTAGAAAATGATAAATAACTTACAATAAAGAAATGGAGAAAAAATTATAATCTAGTTGAGTAATGGTATATTACATAGCTATTTTCCTAAGTAGATGTATGTACATGATGTATGCACGATTGTACATAAATGTTCTTAATTATATATAAATATATATGTACATATTTTTAATATAAAACACTAAACAAAGTACACCAAAATATTAGCTCCTATATTAGTGAGATAATGTTTTGTTTTTTTGTATTTTAAGTTTTACATAGTAGGTGTATTTGTCTGTTTTCATACTGCTATAAAGAACTGCCCAAGACTGGGTAATTTATAAAGGAAAGAAGTTTAATTGGCTCACAGTTCAGTACAGCTTGGGAGGCCTCAGGAAATCTACAATCATGGCGGAAGACAAAGGGGAAGCAAGGCAGCTTCTTCGCAAGGAAGCATGAAGAAGTGCCGAGCAAAGGGGAAAGAATCCCTTATAAAACCATCAAATCTCGTGAGAACTCACTATCACAAGAACAGCAAAGGGGATTACCTCCACCTGGTCTCTCCCTTGACATGTGGGGATTATGGGGGCTATGGGGATTACAATTCAAGATGAGATTCAGGTGGGGATACAAAGCCTAACCATATCAGTAGGCATATGTTGAATTTTAAACTCAGAGAAAAATACTAGTGTTTTTATAGGATTCTTACTAAAGAAAAACCAGAAAGTAATAAACCATCTACGCTAAGACATAAAATTCAGTTGTTTAGTTACAAGATAGAATGTGGCCTTGTAAGAAAGCAAATTAACTTCTAACATACAAAGCCTTAGAGAAGATTCAAGTGACTGACGGATCATAAACAGAGCTATTATTACAACTCAAACTGCAGTAAAATATCCTAAGCAACATAGATGTGTGTGTTTCACTAGTCAGAGCAATACAAATTTAATGAAACTCCATTGGTGGTGTTTTTAATCAGACAATTTCTGAAGATGTCCTGGCTTATTCATAGATGCAAGCCAAATCTCTAGAAGAGTACCATAATAAGAAAAAAAAGAATACAGGCAATTGAGAGCTGTTCCAAAGTTTAGGTAGTTTTTGTAAGGAATTAATAAATAAAAATGTTCTTGAAAGAGAAAATTAATATGCAGTTCATACTGCCAGAATTGCAGGCAATTTATCAAAGTCCCCTAATCCTCCAAAATCGCTATTTTTTTGACACACACTTTACAGTACCGAAGAAAATGTCTCCAGCAATAAATCACAAATTTAAAATTACCTAGTCTACAATTAACTAGACAGTGATGGTAAATCATTTTCTACCAAAAGAAAGAAATATATTGTCTATTCAGGTTCTGCTCTACTTAAAAGTTTTCCTTGTTGGCGAGCAAGTGGTTAGAAAATCATATTTTATACGTACATTCAGCTTAACTATCATTCAGCTCAGGAAGATGACTCAGGGCCTTATCCATACCTTCAAGTTTGCTCTTAGCAAGTAATTGTTTCAGTATGTATATCAAAAATGGCTTAAGTCTGCAACATGTTTCTGAATGATTAACAAGGTGATAGTCAGTTCTTCATTGAATCCTGGATGCTTTATTTTTCTTAATAAGAGGAATTCATATGGATCAGCTAGAAAAAAAATTAAGAGGAAAATCACATGGAAAGTTATTATATATAATATATCTATTATATATATATTATATATCTATTATATATATAATATTATATATCTATTTTATATATATTATATATTATATATCTATTATATATATAATATTATATATTATATATCTATTATATATATAATATTATATATTATATATCATTTCCAAATTCCCCAGCATTCATATTTGTCAGTGCAAGTAAAGAGCCTTAGTGCTGATTAGGTTTGAGGTATGACCATTTGGCCAGAATTTATGAACTCTACATGTCGCTTGATGTGTGCTTCAGGGTACACATTTTTTTTTTTTTTTTTGAGACGGAGTCTTGCTCTGTCGCCGAGGCTGGAGTGCAGCGGTGCGATCTCAGCTCACCGCAAGCTCCGTCTCCTGGGTTCACGCCATTCTCCTGCCTCAGCCTCCCGAGTAGCTGGGACTACAGGCGCCCGCCACTATGCCCTGCTAATTTTTTGTATTTTTAGTACAGACGGGGTTTCACCGTGTTAGCCAGGATGGTCTCGATCTCCTGACCTCGTGATCCACCTGCCTCGGCCTCCCAAAGTGCTGGAATTACAGGTGTGAGCCACTACGCCCGGCCAAGGTACACTTTTAAGCAGAGACACTACTTTGAAGGTCATAAAAAATATAATAAGAGATAAGGCTAATTTCCTTTAATAATAATAATAATAAATTCCTTTAATAAAAATATAAAGGAATAATATAATAATTTTCTTTAATAAAATATAATAAGAGATAAGGCTAATTTCCTTTAATAAAACATAGTAACTACATACCAACAGAATTCCAAAAAAAGAAATGGAGAGGAAGGGAGCATGGGTCATTAATCTTGTCAAAAATATAAAATTATATACGAGGAATTCCTAGAAACTGTTTTCCTTGTCTGCGGCCATTGTGCTGCTGCTACACAACTACCGCAAGCAGCCCTTCACGCCCTCCTCCCAGTACAAAGCTAATTGACTTGTGAGAAATGTTAAGCTTGGAAGAGTCAGCATCGCTGCACTTATTTTTTATTCTACTCTGACATTAGAATAATCCTTGAGTGGGGGAAAGGTTAAAAACCCCCCTGGATAAGTGTTACTAATTAATGATGATTGTTTTAAACAATGTTTGGATAATTTTTCCTTGTCCCTTGACATAAACTTGATAAATAACTGAGAAGTGAGAAGGAGATTAGTGGGTTGATTAAATTCCATTCAGGTACTTAAAGTTAGCTCCAAAAATTTAGCTATTTATAAATTGTCATGCATTGTTAATGTATAAGAGATGTAGATTTCATTTATCTTTGGTGGAGCGAGATGAAGCAGTGAATCATTGAAGACTGAAAGAAAGAAAAAGGTCTTTTCCCTTTTCTTTAAGAAGCATCATTAGTTAAAAACATGTTAGTTGATACCAGAGAACTATATTTAAAGGGACAGCAATAAGCAAATTGATTACTCTGGTGATTATTGGAGTGACATTGCCTTTTAGTTGTACTTTCACAAAAATTCACAATATTTGCCAAAGTCAAGTTATCCATTACACTATTAATTTGTCATTCTTTTGTTTATATACTCAATATCTCTATCTCAATTGGATCTATCTCAACTGCTTCTAAACAAGCCACCATAGTCTCTCCCATTTCAACAATCTCTTCCAAGTACCATTTCATTTCTTCTTTTCATATTTTTGAAAACTTTTGAAAAACTACCTATTTTCCTCCTCCATTTCTTGTTCATTCCATTCTAGTGGACATGGAATCTGTTCCTCCTCCAAAACGGAATTTGGTAACCCTTAAATTACTAAACCCAAAACAATATGTTGTTTTTATCTTTACCTCTCTGTGGCATTTAATGATAAGACCACTACTTACTTCTCTTTTACCCTTCTTTCTTGAATTCAGTCAAACAATGTACTTACATTTTTCGTCTTATTCTCCATCTTAGAAACCACCTCAGCTTTCTCCATTCAGCCATAAAATTGTGCTTTTCCTCGAAGATTAATCTCCCTCTCCTCTCACTCTATACTATCTCTGTTAGCTAATTTTATTTGTGCACATTGCTTATACTGGGCATTATATACACATATGCATGTGTGTACATGTGCACACACACACTGTATGTGGACATGTATATATATGTGTGTGTGTATATATATATAGAATATATATAAATTACAATAACATAAAGGTGGCATTTTAAATTAGTGGAAATTACCCTGATTTGATCATTACACATTCTATACATGTAAAGAAATATCACTCTGTATCCCAAGAATATGTACAATTATGGTTTGTCAAATGAAAAAGTTCATACATTGAAAAATTTTTGATAAATATCAAACTTTCTCTGAAACTGTAACTGTAAAATGTAAAAAACAGTAATTGCTATATTGCTTATTTCTGAGTAGAAGAATATGAGACATTTCCCTAATCATTATGTGTAATTACAATTACATATATATGTTTATATATTACATACATATATATATGTAATTGTAATTACACATAAATGATTAGGGAAATGTCTCATATTCTATATATATAGACAGAAAGAGAGAAAATATAGGATAGAGAGAAAGAATCTTTCCATCTCCTTTGAGTTCCACGGTGTTGAGAGTCACGACAACTACAATTGCTTCATCATGCCTGCTTGCAATTATAGGGCTTTTGAACCATTTGTTCCCTCCTTAGATATCCTCATTTTTTTCAGATTCTTGCTTAGAAGTCACTCCTCCGTGGACCTCCTCTGACATATTAAACATTGCAGTCCATTATAAGCTGCAAGAGGACAGGGATTTTTGCCTGTTTTATTCCCTACTGTATCACCAGGGGCTACAGCAATATCTGACAAACAGTGGGCATGTAATGAATATTTGTTAAGTGAAGTAATAAATTCAATCAAATCACATCACCCGTTTAGAGCACTTCATTGGCTTCACATTGCACTTAGAAAAAAGAGAAATTCTTTTTATACAATATAAGTTCCTGCAGAATGCAGACACTTTCTACTTCTCCAGTCTCTTTTCAACTCCTCTCCTACTAGCTTCTGTATTTAAGCCACATTAGACCTTTCTTCAGTTTTTTATATAGACTTTGTTGCATCACACCTCAGAGATTCTGTGCATGTTCTTCCTCCTGCCTAGAAAGGATCGTCCCTCCACTTTCACCAACTAATCCCTCCTCAACTTTTCATCTCAGCAGGAGGCCCATTCTCTTTGGCAATCCTCTGGCCTCTAGCCCATTTATTATATGCTCACATGTCAACATGTACTTCGTACAGCATGTAACACAATTGCACTTTTATATTTTAAAAAATTATATTTCCCATATTGAACTGTAAGTCTCTTGAAAGGAGGAATTTTGTTCTTGCTCATCATCAATTTTTTCAACATCCAGTGCACCATTTAGAACTTAGATGTAGTCAATACAGGTTTGTGGAATGAAAGAGGAAAAGAAAGAATTAATATTCCTTTAAATTAGGATGGCAAAGATCGTATATAGAAAATTGGCTCAGTTGTGGTCCATTCATGTTTGCTCCCAATTAAGGAGCACAGCTATGAAAAGGAAGGCTTCAAATTAATAACCAATAGATTTTTTAAAAAAGAAAACTGGCCAGGTACTGTGGCTTATGTCTGTAATATCAGCATGTTGGGAGGCCAAGGCAGGATTACTTGAGCCCAGAAATTCCAGACCAGCCTGAGAATTTGGCAAAACTCTGTCTCTATAAAAAATACAAAAATTAGCCAAGTTTGGTGGCATGTGCCTGTAGTACCAGCTACTTGGGAGGCTGAGGTGGAAGAATAGCTTGAGTCTGGGAGGTCAAGGCTGCAATGAGCTGTGATCGCACCACTGCACTCATGCCTGGGTGGTAGAGTAAGACCCTGTCTCAAAAAAAAAAAAAAAAGAAAGAAAACTCACTAAGCAAAATAAGACATGTGAAGGATCATGTCAAAGGTAAGAAAAATTAGGGGAACATTAAAAGCTTTCTTCCCAAGCCACTAAATCAACTTGACTAACAAAATTACCACTTGATTTAGCATTAGAAAATTACATTACATATCAAACATAAACCCATTAATCAAACACTAAAGAAATTTCTGAGTTAAATGGTATAATGTTAGCTTATGCCAGAGCTGACCTTGAAAGATTGTTCAAATATGGCTCAGTGTGATTGAAAGTTCTGTGTGAATATGTTTTTGGAAAGATCCAACAGCAACACCTTAGTGTATGTTTCTGAAATAAAATGTATCTGAGTAGCAGCAAAGTTATTCTCAAATTTCCATTTTATAGCTGGAGATGTTATACCGTGACATATATGATAGGACCCAATATGGATTAATCCCTTTTAGAAGTCAATCAGGAAGAGGGGAGTAGTTAAAACAGTTGCTTGGTTTACAAACAGTAGAACAATTTTCTTATTCACACCATCTGATTATTGTATTTTATTTTTTCCCCAATGTTTAGACTACACAATGAGTTAAGAATGATAAAAATAAGCTCACCAATATACTATGTACATATTTACTAAAATCTGTGCATGCCTATACATATAAACACAGCTGATAATTTGTTAGGCTCATTTGTAATTTTTGTCACTATAGGCCAGTTTTTTATTTAAATTGAAGATTAGTATACATTTTAAATGATTAGTCAAAATAAAAAATCTAAAATGTGCTCTAAATACCTCCTAGGTAAGAAAAAAAAAAGTCAAAACTAGAATATAGAGAAATTAAGAAATGCCCTAAATTTCTAATCTGACAAAAATTCATACAAGATTTAAATATTTTAATGGAAAATAGAACAGAACTAATCATTGAAGAAATTATAGAAAGGAAACAAAATAAACAGATTATATGGAGGATTTTTAGAAGATAAGTAAATAAATTAATATACTAGGAAAAAACAAGGGAAATATAATTGATAAATAAATACAGGTAAGAGTTCTTTTGAAATAATGATAAAATAGAAAATCTCTGTCAAAACTAAAAGGAAAGATGCATAAATATATAAATAAATGATAAAAAGATGTTGCATACATATATGACTTTTTCAGAATCAAAAAATTTAAATTTCTGTAATAAAATTTAAATGTTTATAAATTTAAAAAACTAGAAGAATGTTGACTGTTCACAATACAAATAAATGACAAATATTTGAGGTGATGGATATGCTAATTATCCTTATTTGATCATTGGACATTGTATACATGTATCAAAATATCACTCTGTATCCCATGAATATGTACAAATACTTGTCTCAAACACAAACAAAAAAAAGATAATGGGAGAATGTTGAAAACTCAGAGAGAAGAGCAACTCTCACAGATAGGGATCCAGATAACATTAGCAGCTGATTTCTCGGCAGAAACCTTGAAGGCCAGTAGGCAGTGGATTATATATTTAAAATAATGAAGAAACCTGTCAATTGAGAAATCTATAGCTGGAAAACTTATCCTTCAAAAATGAGGAAGAAATTAAGACATTTCTGGATTTTTTTTTAAAACTGAAAAAAAATCCATTTATCCCTGAATTTGCCATTCAAGAAGTGTTAAGTCCTTCAGGTTGAAATAAATGAACTCTAGGCAATAACTATATAAATAAGCAAGCTGTATGAATATACAAAGCTCTCTGGTAAAGGTAAATACATAAACAAATATAAAAACAGTCCTATTATAATTTTGGTTTGTAACTCTGCTTTTTATTTTCTACATAATTTAAAAGGCAAATGCATAAAATGTAATTGTAAATCTGTTAGCTGGTATACAATGAATAAAGATATAATTTGTTACATCAATAACATAAAAAGAGTAGAGCTATATATATAGCAGTAGAATTTTGGTATGTGATTGAACTTAAGTTGAAATAAATTCAAATTAAAATGTTATAACTCTAGGATGTTATATGTAATTCTCATAGTAACCAAAAATGAAATATACATAGAATATAAACAAAAGGAAATGAGACTAGAAACAAGATGTGTCACTACAAAAAAATCAACTAAAGATAAAAAAGAAATAATTGAGAAAATGATAGGCAAAAATCAGTAACTCTGACGTATTAAAACTTTCCATGCTACATAAATCTGAAAACTCTATTTCACATAAAACTGGAGCTGAAAGAGACAAATATTTACCTATAAAGTTAAAAGTTATATAGGGAACAAACACTAATTTTTTTTTAGAAAAAATTATAAAAAGAGTAAAAATATGCCTTATACTACCCTAATTTCATGTTTTACAGCTCTGGGAAAATAGAAAATAAAATGTTCTGTTAGCATGAATACCTCTGTGCCCCCAAAAAACCCTATGGATTGCATCATTATTACCTAAAAAGTCTATTCTCAAATGCAGCAGAGTGATATTTTTTACAGGGTAGATATTAATTTTAGATATGGAATAATATTGGTGATTTCAATTTTATAACACTGGGTTAAGATGAAAGAATGAGAAGATAAAGGTCCCTCAGCAATATAACTCACAAACATGTTCAGAAGCAGTAAGAAGTTACATTAATTATCTTTTGAAAGTCGATAATCTACATCTTTAATGTATGCATATAGCATAGGTAATGTACTATCGCTGGGTCCATTTATTCAATGAATAATTGCCGCTATGTGTCAGACATTTTTCTAGGCCTAGGAATAGATACATAAGTGAACAAAGCAAAGATTCTGGTTCTTGTAGAGTTTCCATTAAAAGACCATTTAGTAAAACTTTTCTTCCCCCAAATTATAAAATCTGTAAGATGACTTAACAACTTGTGTAAAAGTCATTGTGGGCCAGGCACAGTGGCTCATACCAGGTGTGGTGACTCATAGCACTCTGTCACCCAGGCTGGAGTGCAGTGGCACAATCTCTGCTCACTGCAACCTCTGCCTCCTGGGTACAAGCGATTCTCCTGCCTCAGCTTTCTGAGTAGCAAGGACTACAGGTGCACACCATCACGCCTGGCTAATTTTTGTACTATTAGTACAGACGGAGTTTCACCATGTTGGCCAGGCTGGTCTTGAACTCCTGACCTCAAATGATCTGCCCACCTCGGCCTCCCAAAGTGCTGGAATTACAGATGTGAGCCACAATGCCCGGCCTTATTTTCTACAACTTTGGTAACTTTAGCATATACCCCAAATCTGTAAGACATAATATTATAATTCAAACGCAACTCATGGCTTCTCATTGTACTCTTTCTCTAGCTTTTGAATTATTTATTCTAATACCAGTTTTAATTCTGACACAAAAGCATGGGAGTTCTAATCAAAATCCAACCTTTTATCATAAAAACTATGAAGAAATTATGAGTAGAATTTAAAAAGGAAAATAGGCCTATTAATTAGATTTGTCTTTGTAGCATTTAACTCTATAATAAATAACATAATATTTTATGCCTATGAGTCCCAACAAAGCCTCCAGCTTCTATTTAGATATAAAATGTAAAAGTCACTACTGGATCCACAAGCAAGACTATGGTAAAGAAATTTCTCCACCTAACCATCTTCTTTTACATGATGTTACATATTTCTTTTGTTTTTTCATTTTGGCAAATATTGATTGTCATCTTCGTGTTTGTCTATGTCCTAAGTGCTGGGATACAGAATCTGAAAAGATGGACACAGGACCTGCCTTCAAGTTCACCCTTTTTTTTTTTTTTTTTGAGATGGAGTTTTGCTCTTGTCACCCAGGCTGGAGTGTAATGGTGAGATCTCTGCTCACTGCAACCTCCACCTCCAGGGTTCAAGTGATTCTCCTGCCTCAGCCTCCCAAGTAGCTGGGATTGCAGGTCCCAGCCACCACGCCTAGCTAATTTTTGTATTTTTAGTAGAGACAGCGTTTCATCATGTTGGTCAGGCTGGTCTCGAACTCCTAACCTCAGGTAGTCGACCCATCTTGGCCTCCCACAGTGCTGAGATTACAGGCATGAGCCACCACGCCCTGCTAGGAGTTCACGCTTTAGTTGGGGAAAATATACAATAAGCAAGCCAATTTTTAAAATGAGAACTGCAATTAGAGTTAAATGCTACAAAGACAATCTCACAGGAAGATGGGATGTAGAATGATAAGGCTCTCAGAATAGTAAGAGAAACTATTGCTTCTTACGATGTTTGTCTTTCTTTGTATCAGTGCTCAGCTGAGTCTGCAGTGCTTCAGAGGCAGCTTTCATTTTATAAAAATCTATGATTTCTCCTTCCAGTTGTTTTTTCTCTTCCTCGAGCTTCCTTATCTCCTCCTGTTGAATCATTTTAAGATGCTCGAACTTGTCCTCCAGCTTGAAACCAATGTGCAGTTGTGACACCAAAGCAGTGTGGCTGAACACCCAAAAGAATATGCTTTTTTCTGATTATCAAACAAACCCAAATCATCACAGTAGAGCACGATCTTAATAGCAATCTCAAAAACTCAGGAGTAAACATTCAGATATGGAATTTTTCTTTTCTTTTTTCCTTTTATAAGATGGAGTCTCACTCTGTTGCCCAGGCTGGAGTGCACTGGTGCAATCTCAGCTCACTGCAACCTCCATCTCCCAGTTCAAGTGATTCTCCTGCCTCAGCCTCTTGAGTAGCTGAGACTACAGGCATGCACCACCACTACAGGCGTGTGCCACCACACCTGGCTAATTTTTGTATTTTTAGTAGAGATGGGGTTTTGCCATGTTGGCCAGGCTGGTCTCGAACTCCTGACCTCAGGTGATCCTCCCGCTTTGGCCTCCCAAAGACTTTTTTTTTTTTAAATATAGAGACAAGTTCTCAGTATGTTGCCCAGGCTGGTCTCAAACTCCTGAGCTCAAGTGATCCTCCCACCTCAGCTTCCCAAAGTGCTGGGACTGACTGGATGCAGTGGCTCATGCTTGTAAACTCAGCACTTTGGGAGGCCAAGGTGGGAGGATCGCTTGAGCCCAGGAGTTCAAGACCAGACTGGGTGATATAACACAATAGTAAACTTCAACAGGAGAGAGAATCTGTAAACTTGAATATAGATCTTCTGAAATTATCCAGTCAGAGGACAAAGAAAAAAAGAATAAAAAAGAGAAAAGAAGGCTGGGCGTGGTGGCTCAAGCCTGTAATCCCAACACTTTGGGAGGCCAAGGCAGGAAGATTAAGAGGTCAGGAGTTCAAGACCAGCCTGGCCAACATGACAAAACCCCATCTCTACTAAAAATACAAAAATTAGCCGGGTGTGGTGGCACACACCTGTAGTCCCAGCTACTTGGGAGGCTGAGGCAGGAGAATCGCTTGAACCCAGGAGGCGGAGGTTGGAGTGCAATGTGAGCCGAGACCACACATTGCACTCCAGCCTGGGTGACAGAGCACGACTCTGTCTCAAAAAAAAAAAAAAAGAAAAAAAAAGACAGAGAAAAGAAAGCCAACAAGACACCATTAGGCAAACCATTGTCAGGTTATGGGAGTTTGAGAAGGAAAGTAGACAAAGGAAAAGAAAGCTTATTTAAAGAATGGCTGAAAACTGCCTAAATCATGGGAAAGATTTAGACATCTAAATCCATGAAGCTTAAAGATTCCTAAAGAGGTTCAAACCAAATAGATACTCACCAAGTCACAATATAATCAAATAGTCAAAAGTTAAAGAAACTTTGCAGGTCAGGACAGAATCGAATAATACATTCAAAGTGCTGAAAGAAAAAAACTGCCAGCAACTAATACTATGTCTGACAAAGCTGTCCTTCAGAAAGAAAGAAGAACTAATGTGTTTCCTCGACAAACAAAGCTGAAGGCATTCAGGACCACTAGGTCTACCTTAAAAAAATGCTTAACGGAGTTTTTCAAGTAAAAATGAATGAAGTTGGGAGCGGTGGCTCATGCCTGTAATCCCATTTTGGGAGGCCGAGGTGGGTGGATCACCTGAGGATGGGAGGTCAAGACCAGCCTGGCCAACATGGCAAAACCCCACCTCCAGTAAAAATACAAAAAACTAGCCAGGTATGAAGGCCACTGAGATCGTGCCACTGCACTCCAGCCTGGGTGAAAAGAGTCAAACTACATTTCAAAAACAAAAAACAAAACAAAAAAAAAATAAAACTTGAGGCCTGGCCTTCTGCTCCTCTCCAACCCCCCCTTCTCTGGGCCCAAGCCACCTTGGCTGAGGAGGGGGCGAGGAGGTGTGAGCCCCTGCCAGGAACCCCCTGCCCGGACCAAGTACTCGGCCCCCAGGCCTGCGTTCAGTGAGGCCTCCCGTGGCCTCAGCATGTTTGTGTGGAGGAATGTGGAAGGTCACTCTGTGGCCGTGTTCCCCTGGTACTCCATCCCCTTCCTGACCCCTCCCTGCAGCCACACGAGGCCCAGCAACCTGCCAGTCACTCAGTGGCCTCCAACCAGAGAAAACAACCTGCCAAGTTGGCAGCTGTTGCTCATGAGCATCCACCAGGTGGGACGGGGAGTGTTGACCCTGGGTGGCTCCCTGGAGCCACCTGCCCTGAAAGCCCAGGGCCCGCAACCCCACACATTTTGGGGGTGGTGGAACCTGGTAAAAGCTCACCTCCCACCATGGAGGAGGAGCCCTGGGCCCCTCAGGGGAGTCCCTGCTGTACAGTGAGACAGAGAATGACCATGATGATGCTTTCCTCTCCATCATGTCTCCTGACACCCAGTTGCCTCTACCACTCAGATGATGTCAGGCCCAGTCCCTCAGTGCCCTGCGCAAGGAACAGGACTCATCTTCTGAGAAGGATGGACGCAGCCCCAACAAATGGGACAAGGACCACATCCAGTGGCCCATGAGTGGCGGTCATGATCTTCAGCAAGCGGCACCAGGCCCTGGCAGGGCACACCAGGGTCACCCCAACCAGGATAACCGGACTGTCAGCCAGATGCTGAACGAGTGGTGGTACACCCTGGGGCCCAATGAGACACAGAAATACCACGACCTGGCCTTCCAGGTGAAGGTGGCCCACTTGCAACAAGGACCGAAAGAAGTCCAGCTCAGAGGCCAAGCTCACAAGCCAGGGGCTAGCAGGAGTGTAACAAGGGCTCGTGGGAGTGGAGCATATCAGAGACGGGCACTGCCACTGCCCCTGGGGTGTCCTCTGAATTCCTGTCAGTTGCAGCCCAAACACTCCAGAGCTCGGATACCAAGGAGCAGCTTCTGTGGGGCAGAACGGCTGCACACAGTCAGGGAACCTAGCTCAGCCTGGCCCAAGCCTTCTCCCACAGGGGGGTACACAGCCTGGATGGCAGGGAAATAGATCATCAGGCACTACAGGAACTGACACAGGTGGTGTCTGGCAATGCATCATACTCTGGCCCAAAGCCTTCTACTCAGTATGGAGCTCCAGGCCACTTTGCAGCCCCTGGTGAGGGAGGTGACCAGTGGGCAGCCCTGCTGCTGCCCACCTGAGCTGCTCATTCCCAGCACATGGCCAGTGAGGACATAGCGAGTGATGAGGCGCACACGATCATCCATGAGGAGGAGGGGGTGATGATGTCATTGCTGATGATGGCTTTAGCACCACTGACACCGATCTCAAGTTCAAGGAGTGAGTGACCGACAGAGTGGGGACAACTCTGGGGAGGAGCCACAGGGCAACAAGGGCTTTGGTGGGAAGGTATTTGCACCTGTCATTCCTTCCTCCTTTACTCCTGCTGCCCCTTGCTGGATCCTGAGCCCCCAGGGTCCCCCGATCCACCTGCAGCTTTTGGCAAAGTCTATGGTCCCACCCTGTCCTCCTCCTACACATACTCGGATGCTTCCTCCTCAACCTTGGCACCCACCTCCTTCTTACTGGGCCCGGGAGCCTTCGAAGCCCAGGAGTCTGGTCAAGGCAGCAGAGTGGGCCCCCTACGGCCCCTACCCCTGGGGATGGGGGCCCAGGGATGCCTTCCAAGGCGACCTGTTTCCTCCCAATGGATCCCGCCACCTTCTGGTGCAAGAGACCTGAAAGTGTGGGCGACCTGGAGCTACCAGGCTCCTCAGTCATCAGGGTCCCTCCCAACACTAAGGCTTTCCTAGGCAGGAGCTGGGCTGAGCCACCCGGGGGGCAGATCCTGAAGAGAAACTGACTGGTCTTTCGGGGTCGGGGCAGAGGGAACCCCACGGACATGGATCCCACACTGGAAGACCCCACCACGCCCAAACGCAAGATGAGAAGATGCTCCAGCTGCAGCCCAAAGCCCAACACCCCCAAGTGTGCCATGTGTGATGGGGACAGCTTCCCCTTTGCCTGTACAGGTGGAGAAGCCGAGGACAGGCTCAGGGAACCGGAGACCGAGAAGGCACTGTCCTCTTCACTGCACGCGCCCTGGACCAGTGCCGGCCCTGATCATGCAGCTCTTCCAGGCCCACTGCTTCTTCCTGTCCACTAGGCCACAGCCACCCTCCAGGCCCACTATGCACACATCTTCCACTCCAAGGTTTGTTCTGCCCCTGCCCTGACTCCCAGCCCTGTGGGGGTCCTGACCGGACCTCACCTGGCTCAGACTTTTGACGCTGCCGTGGCTGCCCCACCACTGTCTCTGCCCGAGAGTCACATGAGGCTGAGAGTAGGGGCAGGGGCAGCAGTGGTGCCAGTTGGGGGGCGGTCCAGTGGGAGGAGCCTCAGCCTCGCGGGCTGCTCCGTGGGACTGATGACTGCATGATCTTCTGGGCACCTCACGGATCTTCAACTGCAGGTGAAACGGATGCTGGTGGTGGCTGCAGGGCCGCTGGGAGCCACTGCATGGTTCCCAGAGGCTGGACTGGGGCAGGTGCCAACTGAAGCTGCTGGGGCAGCATGGGCAGGATATTCTGCACACAAACCTTGGAGAAGATGATGTGTGCATAGCGGGTCCACTGCTGCTGCCCCTGCCCTGACTCCCAGCCCTGCCTGACCCCACCTCACCCTGCTCAGGCTCTGGGGCAACCCTGGCTGCCCTGCCACTGCCTCTGCCCCAGAGTTGGGGCCTTGACAGCCTGGTTGGAAGGGGACACCCCAGCCCTGCCTCAACACCTGGGGGTCTCCATAACTACCACAGGCACGTGGCTGACCCGAAAGAAGATCCCAGGACTCACAGTACCCCCTGAGAACATGGACAGTATGTGGGGGTAGCAATGGAGGGCAGGATGGTTATCTTCTCCCAGGTAAAGAGTTTAGGACGGAATAAGGCCTGCCTCTTTTTTTTTTTTTTTTTGAGACCGAGTCTTGCTCTGTCGCCCAGGCTGGAGTGCAGTGGTGCGATCTTGGCTCACTGCAACCTCTTCCCGCCGGGTTCACGCCATTCTCCTGCCTCAGCCTTCCGGGTAGCTAGGATTACAGGTGCACGCTACCACGTCCGGCTAATTTTTGTATTTTTAGTACAGACGGGGCTTCATCATCTTGGCCAGGCTGATTTCGATCTCCTGACATCGTGATCCACCTGCCTCCACCTCCCAAAGTGTTGGGATTACAGGCGTGAGCCACCACGCCTGGCCAAGGCCTGCTCCTCT
This sequence comes from Homo sapiens, assembly GCF_000001405.40. NCBI lineage: Eukaryota > Metazoa > Chordata > Mammalia > Primates > Hominidae > Homo > Homo sapiens. Next base: position 89,364 of record NW_021160000.1, on the reverse strand, counting down.
TATCTATACCCCCTACCCCTGCAGCTGTGCCGGGGGAAAACTGGGCAGTTTCCCTCCTCTGAGCCCCTGTACATACCATGAATTGTGGGACCTTCAGAGCTTTTCACTTTTCGGAAAATAGCTCCTGCTGGGGCTACAAGATGGAGTGTGAAGAGGGCCTTGGGCCACATGGAGGCGCCTGTGGACTAGGGGGAGTTCATGCACCCCTTCTTTCCCCAGAGGGGCTGGACTCAGGTGAGTATGGGGGTGGGGGCTCCTGCACTTCGACACAGGCAGCGGGAGGGTTTTCTCCCCATTCCCTCTGCACTCCCAACTTGAGCTATACTTTTTAAGAAAGTGATTCACCCTGCCTTTGCCCCCTTCCCCAGAACAGAACACATTAATCATGGGCGATATTTTTCATTGTGCCAAAAAGTTGCCATGACCGTCATTAAATCTGTTTAACACCAAATAATAAGGAAAATAAAATAAAAAATTCGGGCATGGTGCAGAAACTAACTCCAAATAAATTACCTACCAAAATATTCATATAATGGTGGAAATATTCCAAAATTCCATATTTTGGGATTTATACACAAAAGATAAACAAATTAGAGGCCAAGAGGCTGCCAGAAGGGAAAAACGGGGCCTGGGAAGACCATTGTGAGGAATGAGCTGGGCCTAAAGAGGCCACTGGCAGGCAGGAGCTGGACCTGCCGAAGCGGCCGAAAGGCAGGAGCTTTGGACTGGGGAGGCCGCAGTGAGGTGAGAGCTAGCTGGGCGTGGAGAGTCCGCTGTGAGGCCGAGGCCGAGGCCGGGCCTGCAAAGGTCCACTGGAGGGCAAGTTCTGGGCCTGAAGAGGCCGCCAAAAGTCAAAAGCGGGGCCTGGGAAGGCTGCCGAGAGCCATGAGCTGGGCTGGGCTGGGCTGAAAGAGGCCACTGGGAGGCAGGAGGAGCTGGGCCTGGAGAGGCTGACTCGAGGAAGTTTTGCACCTGGAGAGGCCGCCGAGAGGATGGAGCTGGGCCCGGAGAGGCTGACTTGCTGCTCTTCCAGGCCTAATTCCAGGCCGACTTGAGGACGACTTGGGCCTGCAAAGGCCGCCAGGAGGCCGGAGCTGGGCCTGGAGAGGCCAACTTCGGGACGTTTTGGGCCTGCAGAGGCCGCCGGGAGGCCCAAGCTGGGCCTAGAGGAGCCCACCGACCGGAGGCCATTTGGGGCCTGCAGATGCCATCGGAGGGCAGGAGCTGAGCCTGGAGAGGCCACCGTGAGGCCTGAGCTGGGCCTGGGGAGCTTGGCTTCAGGAAGTTGTGGGTCTACCAGGGCCGCTGGGAGCTGGGCAGGAGCTGAGTCCAAAGACGTTGTTGGGAGGCCAGAGTCGGGCCTGGAGACGCAGCCGGGAGGAAGAGCTGGGCCCGGAGAGGACGCTGGGAGGCTGCAAGTGGGTCTGGAGAGGCCGACTTGAGGAGGCCCGGCCTCTGCCTCCCACATGGGGGCCTCTTCAGGCCCAGCTGTTCCTCCTGGCTGCATCTCCCGGCCCAGCTCCTGCCTCCCAGCAAACAAGCTCTTTTGGCTCAGCTCCCGCCGGCCTTTGTAGACCCCGAAGTTTCTGCAACCAAGCTCTCAGGCCCACATCCCGCCACCAGTAGCCTGAACAGTCCCAGCTCCGGCTGGAGAAGAGCATCTGCAGGCCCCGCTGTTGCCTCCCAGGGGTGTCTCCAGGCCCAGCTCTCGCCCCACTGTGACCTCCCAGGCCCAAGTCCCTGCCTGCCTCCCAGCAGCCCGCGTGCAAGCCTGCTCCTCCCTCACGGTGGCCTGTTGAGGCAGGGGCTCACGCTGACCTCTCTCAGCGTGGAAGGGGCCGATGTGAGGCAAGGGCTCACGCTGACGTCTCTCAGCGTGGAAGGGGCCGGTGTGAGGCAAGGGGCTCCCGCTGACCTCTGTCAGCGTGGGAGGGGCTGGCGTGAGGCTAGGGGCTCCCGCTGACCTCTGTCAGCGTGGGAGGGGCCGGTGTGAGGCAAGGGGCTCACGTTGACCTCTCTCAGCGTGGGAGGGGCCGGTGTGAGGCTAGGGGCTCCCGCGGACCTCTGTCAGCCTGGGAGGGGCCGGTGTGAGGCTAGGAGCTGAGGCTGACCTGTCAGCGTGGGAGGGGCCGGTGTGAGGCAAGGGGCTCAGGCTGACCTCTGTCAGCGTGGGAGGGGCCGGTGTGAGGCAAGGGGCTCACGCTGACCTCTGTCAGCATGGGAGGGGCCGGTGTGAGGCAAGGGGCTCCCGCGGACCTCTGTCAGTGTCGGAGGGGCCGGTGTGAGGCTAGGGGCTCCCGCGGACCTCTGTCAGCCTGGGAGGGGCCGGTGTGAGGCAAGGGGCTCCCGCTGACCTCTGTCAGCGTGGGAGGGGCCGGTGTGAGGCAAGGGGCTCAGGCTGACCTCTGTCAGCGTGGGAGGAGCCGGTGTGAGGCAAGGGGCTCCTGCTGACCTCTGTCAGCGTGGGAGGGGCCGGTGTGAGGCTAGGGGCTCCTGCTGACCTCTGTCAGCGTGGGAGGGGCCGGTGTGAGGCAAGGGGCTCAGGCTGACCTCTGTCAGCGTGGGAGGGGCCGGTGTGACGCAAGGGGCTCAGGCTGACCTCTGTCAGCGTGGGAGGGGCCGGTGTGAGGCAAGGGGCTCAGGCTGACCTCTGTCAGCGTGGGAGGGGCCGGTGTGAGGCAAGGGGCTCCCGCTGACCTCTGTCAGCGTGGGAGGGGCCGGTGTGAGGCAAGGGGCTCACGCTGACTTCTGTCAGCGAGGGAGGGGCCGGTGTGAGGCAAGGGGCTCAGGCTGACTTCTGTCAGCGTGGGAGGGGCCGGTGTGAGGCAAGGGGCTCACGCTGACCTCTGTCAGCCTGGGAGGGGCCGGTGTGAGGCTAGGGGCTCACGCTGACCTCTGTCAGCGAGGGAGGGGCCGGTGTGACGCAAGGGGCTCAGGCTGACCTCTGTCAGCGTGGGAGGGGCCGGTGTGAGGCAAGGGGCTCAGGCTGACCTCTGTCAGCGTGGGAGGGGCCGGTGTAAGGCAAGGGCTCACGCTGACCTCTCTCAGCGTGGGAGGGGCCGGTGTGAGGCAAGGGCTCACGCTGACCTCTCTCAGCGTGGGAGAGGGCCGGTGTGAGGCAAGGGCTCACGCTGACCTCTCTCAGTGTGGGAGGGGCCGGTGTGAGGCAAGGGGCTCATGCTGACCTCTCAGCGTGGGAGGGGCCGGTGTGAGGCAAGGGCTCACGCTGACCTGTCTCAGCGTGGGAGGAGCCAGTGAGAGGCAGGGGCTCATGTCTCTGGGCAGGGTGCCAGAGGCATGAGTTGGGCATCAACAGGCCACTGTGAGAAGGAGCTGGGCCGCATGCGGGCTGCTGGGAGGCAGGCAGGGACTTGGCCCCGGGAGGCCGCCGTGGGGGCAAGAGCTGGGCCTGGAGAGGCCCCTGGGAGGCAAGAGTGGGGCCTGCAGAGGCTGTTCTCCAACCAGTGCTGGGCCTGTACAGGCCACCGGGAGGCAGGAAGTAGGCCCGAAGAGCTTGGCTGGAGAAAGTTCGGGGCCTAGAAAGGCGGTTGGGAGCTCGGCAGTAGTTGAGCCAAAAGAGCTTGCTTACTTGCTGGGAGGCAGGGCCGGGAGAGGCCGACTTCAGGACAACTTGGGCCTGCAGAGGTCGCCAAGAGGCCCAAGCTTGGCGTGGAGGAGCCCACCGACTGGAGACCATTTGGGGCCTGCAGATGCCATTGGAGGGCAGGAGCTGAGCTTGGAGAGGCCACCGTGAGGCCTGACCTGGGCCTGGGGAGCTTGGCTTCGGGAAGTTGTGGGTCTACCAGGGCCGCTGGGAGCTGGGCAGGAACTGGGCCAAAAAAGGCTGTTGTGAGGCAGCAGTTGTGCCTGTAGACCCAGCCAAGAGGAAGAGGTGGGCCTGGAGAAGCCCCCATAAGGCAGAGGTTGGGCCTGTAGACGCTGACAGGAGGCAGGAGCTGGGCCTGTAGAGGTCAACTTGAGGAGATTTTGGGCCTTCATAATCCACCAGGAGGCAGCAGTTGGGACTAGAGAGTCTGACTTTAAGTTTTGGGCCCGGAGATGACGTCCTGGGACAGGAGTTGAGCCTGGAGAGGCCACCGTGAGGCATGAGCTGGATGTAGAGAGGCCAGTGTGAGGCAAGACCTGGGCCTGTCTAGGCTGCTGGGAGACAGGCAGGAATCTGGCCAGGGAAGGTTGCCATGAGACAAAAATTGGGCCTGGAAAGACCCTTGTGAAGCATGAGCTTGGCCTAAAGAGGCCACTGGGTGGCAGGAGCTGGGTGTGTAGAAGCTGCTGAAAGGTTGGGAGCTTGGCTTGGGGGGTCCACAGTGAGGCAGATGCTGGGCCTGAAGAATCTGCTGTGAGGCAGATGTTGGGACTGTAGAGGCCGACGGGAGGCAGAGGCTGTGCCTGGAGGGGTCACCAAGATGCAGGAGCTGGGCCTGGAGAGGCTGCAAAGAAGCATGAGCTGGGCCTGGTGAGGTCGACTTGAGAAAGTTCAGGGCCTGGAGAGAAGGCTGGGAGGCAGGAGCTGGGTCTAAAGAGGCCATTGTAACGACGGAGCTGTGCCTGTGGAGGCTGTTGTGAGGCAGTAGGCTCATCTGCGGAGACTGCCGTGAGGTAGGGTATGGGCCTAAATAGGCCATTGTGAGTCATGAGCTTGGTCTGTAGAGGCTGACTGGAGAAAGTTCTGGGCCTGGAGATGCTGCCGGGAGGTAGGAGCTGGGCCAAAAGATTTAAGCACGTTTACATTTATTAGGCACTTTATTTCCATTATTACACTGTAATATATAATAAAATAATTATAGAACTCACCATAATGTAGAATCAGTGGGCATGTTAAGCTTGTTTTCCTGCAACTGGATGGTCCCACCTGAGCGTGATGGGAGAAAGTGACAGATCAATAGGTATTAGATTCTCATAAGGACAGCACAACCTAGATCCCTCACATGCACAGTTCACAACAGGGTGCGTTCTCCTATGAGAATCTAATGCTGCTGCTGATCTGAGAAGGTGGAGCTCAGGCGGGAATGTGAGCAAAGGGGAGTGGCTGTAAATACAGACGAAGCTTTCCTCACTCCCTCACTCGACACCACTCACCTCCTGCTGTGTGGCTCCTTACGGCTCCATGGCTCAGGGGTTGGGGACCCCTGCTCAAGTGCATCCAAAGCGACCCTTCCCACACCAGTCTTCATAGTGGTCAAGGGCAGCAACCACTTAGCTCCCAAGGCATGTGCCTCAGCTGGCATTTCATCACAATCAACAGTAAGTGGTAGCTTGAGTCACTGTGAGGTCACTTCCTGGAAATCACCAGCATCCCATTTCCCACTGGCAAAGAGCTCAGCACTGCCCCCTGGGAAACCAAACCTATGCCCAAATCCCATGTGTGGGTTTATCTCCTGGGACCCTTCCTAACATATTAGTCAGAGTCCAATCAGGAAGCATAAAACACTCAAGAGTTTAAAGTGGTAAAATTTAATATGGAGAATTATTCATTAGAACAGGTGAACAGCATAATGAGAGATTGGCTAGCACAAAGTAAAGAAAACTCTAGAGAATACAGGACTAGCCCAGGCCAGGCATGGTGGCTCATGCCTGAAATTCCAGCAATTTGAGAAGCTAATGCAGGAGGATTGCTTAAGGCCAGGAGCTAGAGACCGGTCTGGACAACACAGTGAGACCCTGTCTCTATCCAAAAAAAAGAAAAAAGTTAGCTGGGAGTGGTGGTGCACACTTGTAGTCCCAGCTACTCAGAATGCTGAAGTTTGAGCCTGGGAGGTCAAGGCTGCAGTGAGGTATGATTATGCCACTACAGTCCAGCCTGGTGACAGAGCAAGACCCTGTCTCAAAGAACAAAACAACAATCATTTACAGACAGAAAAGAAATACAGCTAATAAGCTAAGGAAAGATGTTGAAATGAGACAAGTAAAGTAATATGAGGTCTTTTATCTATTTAAAATAATCAAACAAAAAATGACTTACTAAATTATAATACCCTGTGCTGGCAAAGGTGCAGTGAAATGGGCACTCTCTTATACTATGAGGGGTGTTTAAATTGTGTATAAGCCTTCCCGGGTAAAGCTTGTCAATTTTTTAAAATAATGGAGACAGGGTCTCACCATACTGCCATACAGCCTCCTCCAACTCTTGGCCTCAAGCAATCCTCCTCTCTTAGCCTCCCAAAGTGCTAAGATTATAGCTGGGAGGCACCCAAAACCCTGTCAATTTACATCAAGGGTAATGAGAATGTCCATTCACCATGTCTCACAGTAATCTTACTTCTGGGGAGACAATTCAATCTAAACAAAAGGTCATCTGTACAAACACAGTAAAAATCTGGGAGTAACTGAAGACAGAGTTGGTAAGTGAAATAAGAAGCAGTTATAAGAAATTAAACTATGATATCAATAGGCACCTGGTATAAAAGGTCAGTTGATGTTAGCTGCTACTTTTTTGTTGTTTTCAGACAGGGTCTCACTCTGTCACCCAGGCTGGAGTGCAGAGGCCTGATCATGACTCACTGCAGTCTCAGCCTCCCTGGGGTCAAGTGATGTTCCCACCTCAGCCTCCCAAGTAGCTGGGACTACAGGAACATGCCACCACACTAGGCTAATTCATGTATTTTTCTGTAGGGATGGTGACTCCCTCTTTGTTTCCAAGGCCTATCGCAAACTCTTGGCCTCAAGCCATCCTCCTGCCTCAGCCTCCCAAAGTGTTGCGATTACCAGTGTGAGCCACCACACCTGGCCAGCTGCTACTTTTATCAATATTATTATTCCACTCAATTAAAAATTATTATTTTCAAGGCTATGCAACAGTATGTATCCTACAGCGTAATTGTAAAAACATATACAGTCGCCGTCCCTCAGTATACAGAATTAGTTCCAGCCCCCCATCTCTGCATATACCAAAATCCATGCTTACTCACGTTTTGCTGTCACCCCTCTGGAATCCACGTATACGAAAATTCCAAATATTAGTTGGGCATAGTGGCAAGCACCTGTAGTCTCAGCCACGTGGGAGGTTGAGATGGGAGGATCGCTTCAGCCTGGAAGGTTGAGGCTGCAGTCAGCTGCGATAGCACTACTACACTCCAGCCTTGGACAACAGAGGGAGACCCTGTCTCAGAAAAAAAAAAACAAAATAAAACAGGTTAGAAACTGTAATGAGGTCTGTTGGGCAAAATTCCATATAACCAAAGTATAAATTAATAAAGCAAATCGTGATAAATTAGTACGATTGACTTTCTGGAGTTTCCGACAATAAAAGTAAGGAAAATGCAAAACACAAAGACAGAGAGTAAAAAGAGAAATTAGGAAAGCATTCTACATGTTTAATAGGAAGACACTGGCCATGTTCGTGCAGCGGCAGTATGTCGTGACATGACATACCTTGGAGAGAAGTTAACAGATGAGGAAGTTGATAAAAATCATCAGAGAAGCAAAATACTGGTAGCGACACTCAAGTAAACCACGAAATTTCCATAACTTATGTCAGCAAAGTGGGAATATTGTACAGTGTGTGTTGAAGTTCCTACACAACATTGTTTATCTGCCTTTTGTTTGTTTGTAAGGAATGTATATACTAAAAGTTCTTCTTGCTGTCAAAAGAATATGTGTGAATAAGTCATTTTAACTTATTCTTCTGTTTTTCTTTTATCTTCCTGCCATCATCCCACAGCCTTACTTTAGAAATTTTTTCTTTAGAAAATTGAACAAGTGCTCCTTGTGGTGGCACATACCTCTAGGATGGGAGGCAGGGGTGGAAGGGTCACTTGAGGCCATTAGTTTGACACCAGCCTGGCCAACAAAGTGAGACCCCATGTCTACAAAACAATTTAAAAATTAGCCAAGTATCGTCATGTATACCTACAGTCCTAGCTATTCAGGAGGCTCAGGTAGGAGGATCCTTAGCCCAGGAGTTCAAGGCTGCAGTGAGCTGTGATAGCACTATTGTACTCAAGCCTGGGTGACAGGGTGAGACCCCATCTCCTAAAATAAAAAACAAAGAAAAAAAATAGTTCAAGTAGCAAGTTGTATGTGGCTTACTCTGAATATTTCTAAACTAGAAATTCTCAATCTTTTGGGGTCTAACATCCCTTTACCTTTTTTAACTTTATTGAAGATCTCTAAGACTCTTTCTGTAGATAATTATATTAAAACCAGAAAATAAGACACAATTTTTAAAATATTATTCATCACATATTAAAGCCATTACATGTTGATATAAAATTTTAAAAATATTTAGTATTCATTACATATTAATAATAAAACCATTACATGTTGATATAATACTTTTTTTTTTTCTTTGAGACAAAGTCTTGTTCTTTTGCCCAGGCTGGAGTGAAGTGGCTCAATCTCAGCTCATTGCAACCTCCGCCCCACAGGTTCAAGCGATTCTCCTACCTCAGCCTCCCAAGTAGCTGGGATTACAGGCGCCCACTACCATGTCCAGCTAATTATTGTATTTTCTTAGTAGAGAAGGAGTTTCGCCATGTTGGCAAGGCTGGTCTTGAACTCTTGACCTCAGGTGATCCACCTGCCTGGGTCTCCCTAAGTGCTGGGATTACAGGTGTGAGCCACCGCGCCCACCCCGATTAATATATGTTTTAAAACACTGATTAGTCAGGCAACAACACCGGGCAGGGGTCTCCTCATTCCCAGCAACGCAAACCCCACTGCACGGCTGAGGGGTTGCAAGGGCTGCAGAGCCAAAAGGCTCTGACTTGAGGTATTATTTTACTTGTATTTTTATTTGTATTGTGAGACAGGTCCTGCTCTGTCACCCAGACTGGAGTGCAGCTGTGCACTTACAGCTCGCTGCAGCCTCGACCTCCTGGGCTCAAGCCATCTTCCTGCCTCAGCTCCCCAGTAGCTGGTAGTACAGTTGAGTATCACCATGCCTGGTTTTTTTAATTTTTTTGTAGAGTGAGGGGTCTTGCTATGTTGCCCAAACTGGCCTCAAACTCCTGACCTCAAGAGATCTGCCCACTTCAGCCTCCTGAGTAGCTGAAACTACAAGTACACATCACCATGCCTAGCTACATTTATTTAATTTTGAAAAATATTTTTGTAAAGAGCAGATCTTGCTGTGTTGTCCAGGCTGGTCTTGAACACCTGCCCTTAAAAGATACTCGCACCTCTGCTTACCAAACAGCTGGTACTACAGGCATGAGCCATTGCAATGAGCCTGAAGAGATTTCTTTAATCTAGCATCCCATACTTGGTAGGATTGGGAAAGGCAGTAGTGTTTTTTAAAATTACTTAATAATTTCAGTAACAATCAAACTCAACCTTGACCCCTGCCTTCTCTCACACCCCATATCCAGTCTGTCAGGAAATCCTGTTGATTGTCTTCGACATCTACTAAAGATCCCCACCCAGCAACTCCCTGGCCTCCTCCCCTACTTCTCCCCTCTGACCATCTCTCAACACCACCACGACCCTGGTCAGGACCACCATCATCTCCCGCCTGGATGTTGCCAAAGCTTGGCCCCCATGCTTCTATCACATCTTCCCACAGTCTTTCTCAACTCAGCAGCCAGAGAATACTTTTAAATCGGGAGACAGATGATGTCACCTCTCTGCTCAGAACCCTCCCGCAGTTCCCATCTGAGTCAGAGTAAAAGCCAAAGCCCCACCAATAACCTCCCAGGGCTTATGTGATCTGTACTGATCCCCACCCAGCAACTCCCTGGCTCCCTCCCCTAATTCTCTCCCTCTCTCCATCTGCTCCATGGGCCTCCTTCCAGAGCCGGAGACACACCTCAGACAGTTTATTCTATTGTTTCTGCCTACAATCCTCTTCCCTCAGCACCTTGGCCACCTCCTTCCCCTCCTTCAAGTCTTTACTCAATTTTCACTTAGGCCACCCCTGACCATTCTATTTAACATTGCCATCTGTCCCCATGCCCACCATGCTCATTTCTTCTTTCTTTACTTTCTTCTTTCTTTTTTTCAAGATCTCACTGTCACCAAGGCTGGAGTGCAGTAGCGAAATCACAGCTCACTGCAACCTCAAATTTCCAGGCTCAAGCGATCCTCCCACCTCAGCCTCCCGAGTACCGGGGACTCCAGGTTCATGCCACCATGCCTGGCTAAATTTTTTAGTATTTTATTTTATTTTATTTTGAGACAGAGTTTCACTCTTCTTGCCCAGGCTGTAGTGTAACGGTGCGATCCCGGCTCACTGCAACCTCCACCTCCCAGATTCAAGTGATTCTACTGCCTCAGCCTTCCAAGTAGCTGGGATTACAGGTGCGTGCCACCACGCCCAGCTAATTTTTGTATTTTTAGTAGAGCCGGGGTTTCACAATGTTGGCCAGGCTGGTCTCAAACTCCTGACCTCAGGTAATCTGACCGCTTAAGCCTCCCAAAGTGCTGGAATTACAGGTGTGAGCCACCACACCTGGCCAATTTTTTCATTTTTTGTAGAGACAAGGTCTTACTATGTTGCCCAGACTGGTCTTGAACTCCTGGCCTCAAGTGATCCTCCTGCCTAAATTCCTAAAGTGCTGGGATTACCGGCATGAGCCATCATGCCTGGCTTCATGTTCATTTCTTCTTGCTGCTGCAACGTAGTTTGCAGTTTCCTATATTTAGTGGCTTAAAACACCACAAATCTACCATCTTACAGTTCTAGGGGCCAGACACCCAAACTAGGTCTATTAAGGCTAAAGTCAAGGTGTCAGCAGGGCTGCATTCCTTCTGGAGACTCTAATATGTTCCCTTGGCTTTTCCAGCTTCTAGAAGCCACCCCCCATTCCTTGGATCACGGCCCCTGATTCCATCTTCAAAGCCAGAGGTGAAGCATCTTCAAATCTCCCTCTCTTACCTCTGCTTTCATCACCACATCTCCTGCTCCAATTCTGAATCTCCTACTCTCTTTCTTTTATAAAGACCCTTGTGATTGCTGGGCATGGTGGCTCCCACCCAGAATCCCAACACTTTGGGAGGTCAAGGCAGGAGGATCACTTGAGGCCCAAAGTTTGAAACTAGCATGAAAAATACAGTGAGACCCCCACCTCTAGAAAAAAATAAAAATAAATATTAGCCCGACATGGTGGTATGCGCCTGTAGTCCCAGCTACTTAAGAGGCTGAGGTGAGACAATCGATTTAGCCCAGGAGTTTGAGATCAGCCTGGACAACATAACTAAATCTTATCTCTACAAGGACGAGGTGGGAGGATCACTTGAGCCCAGGAATTTGTGGCCAGCCTGGGCAACAAAAGAAGACCCCATCTGGCCAACATGGCCAACCTGGCCACCATGGCGAAACTCTGACTCTACAAAAATGAGCTGGGCATGGGTGACATGCATGTGTAGTCCTAGCTACTTGGGAGGTTGAGATGGGAGGATTGCTTGATCTCAGGAGGCCAAAGCTATAGTGAGCTATGATCACATCACTGCACTCCAGCCTGGATGACACAGAAGATTCTGTCTCAAAAAAAAGAAAAGAAACATATATTTAATCTCTGTCCCTGGTTCATGGCATAGAGCTTCTAAAGCTCTTACAAAGACCTCAGTGATAGATGTGACAGGAACATCTTTTGTTTTAATATTTGGTCTTGGTCCCAGGTTTCTAACACAAGAGCCTCTAAGAACTTTGGGATCTCCAACATGGTAAGAATGCATTTGGGGATGTTGTTGAGATGACTGGGTGACTGCAAGCTCCTAAATTTCTTCAAGAGGAGGGCTGATTACCATGCAACCACATGGTAAGAGGCTTGGGACTTTCAGCCTCATGCACTGAACTCCAGGAGGAAGAGGGGCTGGAGACTGACTTAATCACCAACAGCCAAAGATTTTATCAATCATGCTTGCATAATAAAGCCTCCATAAACACCCTGAACGGGGTTTGCAGAGCTTTCAGGGTTGCTGGACACAGGAGATGCTGGGAGGGTCCGCATGTTCAACAGAGGGCATGGGAGCTCTGTGCCCCTCCGAACTTAACTTGCCCTGAGTATCTTTCTTTTTTTTGAGACAGGATCAGGCTCTTTTGTCCAAGCTAGAGTGCAGTGGCACAATCTCAGCTTACTGTAACCTAAGCCTCCCCAGTCCCCAGCTCAAGGTATCCTCTCATCTCAGCTTCCCTAGTAGTTGGAACTCTAGGTGCACACCACCACACCGGTTATTTTTTTTTTTTTTAATTTTTTATAGAGACAGGTTTTCACCATGTTGCCCAGGCTGGTCTCAAACTCTTGAGTTTAAGCGATCCTCCCACCTTGGCCTCCCAAAGTGCTGAGATTACAGGCATGAGCCACTGCATCCAGCATGCACGTCTCTTTCATTGACTGTTTCTGAGATGTATCCTTCACAATGAACCAGTAATAAGAAATGAACTGGCCAGATGTGGTAGCTCACATCTGTAATCCCAGCACTTTCAGAGGCTGAGGTGGGAGGATCACTTGAGACCAGGAATTTGTGGCCAGCCTGGCCAACACAACAAGACCCCATCTATACAAAAAATAAACTAGCCAGATGTGGTGGTGCAGGCATGTAGTCTCAGCTACTAGGGAGGCTGAGGTGGGAGAACCACTGGAGCCCAGACAATCAAGGCTGCAATGACCTATGACTGCACCATTGCACACCAGCCTGGGCAACAAAATAAGACCCTCTCTCTCAGAAAAAAAGAAAATAAACTGTTTTTCTGAGTTCCGTAAACTGTTCTAGCAAATTATTAAACCCAAGAAGACAGTTATGGGAACCCCCGATTGGTAACAGGTTGGTCAAAAGTATGGTGACAACTTAGGACTTGCCATTGGCATCTGAAGTGAGGATGGCCTCATGGGACTGAGCCCCTAACTTGTGGGGTCTGTGCTAACTCCAGGTAGTGTCAGAATAAAGTCATGGGATACCCAGTTAATATCCAGAGCACTGAAGAATTTGGTGTAGAAACTCCATACATACATTCAGTCGGAAGTGTGTGAGTAGAGACAAACATGGGCTTTTCTGTCACCTACCTGCTTAACTGCATAGGAGAGGCAATATGTGGTGCTCATGAACAAAGCAAACATTAAAATCAGACCAAACCCAACATTTGACTCAGTCTTAATATCCAGGTGAGCTTGGGCAAATCTTTCATTATTCCTAAGGCTTCATCACTCCATTCATAAAATGGGGATAACTGTGACACCTACCTGTGATTCTGTGAGAATTAACGAAATATTACGCTTGGGGTTATTGTGATCATTATACCTATTCCAAACTATTTGACAAGGACAGTGATGGATGATGACATCAAAAAATCAGAAACTGCAATGAGGTCTCTCAGGCAAAATTCCATACAAGCAAATTACTGTGTCTACAAAGCATTCCTGCCACACTTAATTCACCATTCCCTGAACAAAATATGCCATCTTTGTTGTTCAGGTCTGTACAGTGCTGGTTTTCCTTCCCGGGCAGTTTGCGCTATCCCATCCCAGCCCACTCCCCATCCCTCCACCTCCCCCTTCCCTCCACACTCTCATGCAACTCTTCCTCATCTTTCAGGACTTGGCTTCAATGTCACCTTAACTGGAAGCTTATCTCACTCTCCAGAAGAGCTTCCCATTGCACTTGATGCATGCACTATTATTTGATCATTTTTAAGTTATAGTCCAAATCTTTTTGTACCTGAATAACATGTTGCCCAGTCAGTCTCTCTTCCTGGATTCAGAAGTCTTTCATGGTAGATCCAGCTGGAAGTGACAAAAAGACATCTTTTGACATAAAGGGATGACACAGATAGACATAAGTTCTTAAATGTCTTAAATGTTATGTGAAAATTAAACAGAATTCAAAGACTTGTGGGGAACACTTAGGAGGGAAAGTTACTGGGAATGTCATAAAGGGTTAATTTGTATTTTATTTTATTTTATTTTATTTTATTTTAATTTTATTTTATATTTTATTTTTTTATTTTATTTTATATTTATTTTATTTTATTTTATTTTATATTTTATTTTATTTTATATTTTATTTTATTTTATATTTTATTTTATTTTATATTTTATTTTATATTTTATTTTATTTTATATTTTATTTTATTTTTTTTATTTATTTTATTTTATTTTATTTTATTTTATTTTATTTTATTTATTTTATTTTATTTTATTTTATTTTATTTTATTTTATTTATTTTATTTTTTGAGACAGTCTCATTCTGTCACCTAGGCTGGAGTCGTGGTGCAATCAGGCTCACTGCAGCCTTGACCACCTGGGCTCAAGTAATCTCACTTAATTTTTATTTGGTTTAAGAAAGTCTTGGTTGAGGGTGGTGGCTTATGCCTGTAATCTCAGCACTTTGGGAGGCTGAGAGAGGTATATTACTTGAGGCCAGGAGTTTGAGATCAGCCTGGGCAATATATTAAGACCCTGCCTCTACCAAAAAACAGAGTGAATGTGTGGAAGACAATTTTTCCACAGACTGGGAGTAAGGGAATAATTTCAGGATGATTCAAGTGCATTACATATATTGTGCACTTTATTTCTATTATTACTACATAGTAACATATAATGAAATGATTCTACAACTCACTATAACGTAGACTCAGTGGGATCTCTGAGCTTGTTTTCCTGCAACTAGACTGTCCATCTGGGGTGATGGGAGACAGTAACAGAATATCAGGCATTAGATTCTCATAAGGAGTACACAACCTAGATCCCTCGCATGCACACTTCACAACAGAGTTTGTGCTCCTATGAGAATCTAATGCTGCTGCTGATCTGACAGGACATGGAGCTCAGGTGGTCATGCAAGTGATGGGAGGGGCTAGAAATACAGATGAAGTTTCCCTTCACTCACCTGCTGCTCACCTCCAGCTCTGTGGCCCTGTGGTTGGAGACCGCTGCTCAAGTGCATTCGAAAGGATCCATCCCACGCCATTCTTCAGAGTCATCTTTACTGCTGCAGTGGTCAACTTGTAGCACCCCTAAGCTCGCAGGACATATGCTTCAACTGGCATTTCACAATCAACAGCATGTGGTAGCTTGAGTCATTGTGAGGTCACTTCCTGGAAATCATCAGCATCCCATATCCCATTAGCAAGGAGCTCAGCACTGCTCCTTGGATAACCAAACCTATTCCCAAATCCCATCTGTGTGCGTCTATCTCCTGGTACCCTTCCTAGCATCAATTCTGTATTTGTAG
The DNA here is from genome assembly GCF_000001405.40 of Homo sapiens. Classification (NCBI taxonomy): domain Eukaryota; kingdom Metazoa; phylum Chordata; class Mammalia; order Primates; family Hominidae; genus Homo; species Homo sapiens. Next base: position 74,234 of record NW_021160000.1, on the reverse strand, counting down.
GAGTCCAATCAGGAGACACAAACCACTCAAAAGTTTAAACTAGAATGAGCAAGATGGCTCACATCTGTAATCCCAGCACTTTGGGAGGCCAAGGTGGGTGGACTGCTTTGAGCTCAGGAGTTTGAGAACAGTCTGGGAAACATGGCGAAACCTCATCTCTACAAAAAACACAAAAATCAGCTGGGTGTGGTGGCACTTACTTGTAATCCCAGCTACTCGGGAGGCTGAGGCAGGAGAATTGCTTGAGCCTGGCAGGTGGAGGCTGCAGTGAGCAGAGGTTGTGCCACTGTACTCCAGCCTGGGTGACAGTGTGAGACCTGGTATCAAAAAGAAAAAACGTATATATATGTAAATTTAATATAAAAAGTATTAATTTTGGCCAGGCACAATGTCTCATGCCTGTAATCCCAGCACTTTGGGAGGCCAAGGCAGACAGGTCACCTGAGGTCAGGAGTTCGAGACCAGCCTGACCAGCATGGAGAAACCCCATCTCTACTAAAAATACAAAATTAGCTGGGCATGGTGGCACATGCCTGTAATCCCAACTACTCGGGAGGCTGAGGCAGGAGAATCGCTTGAACCCGGCAGGTGGAGGTTGTGCTGAGCCGAGATAGCGCCATTGCACTCCAGCCTGGGCAACAAGAGTGAAACTCCATCTCGGAAAAAAAAAAAGGTATTACTTTTTACAGAGGATCAGCACAATGAGGGACACACTAGCACAAAGTAAAGACAACTCTAGAGAATACGGAACTAGCAGAGGCCAGGCATTGTGGCTCATGCCTGTAATCCCAGCAATTTGGGAAGCCTAGGCAGGAGGATCACTTGAGGCCAGGAGTTGGAGACCAATCAGTGCTAAATAGTGAGACCCTGTGTCTACCAAAAAAAGAAACATTAGCCAGGTGTGGTGGTGGTGCACACCCGTAGTTCCAGCTACTTGGGAGTCTGGGGTGGGAGAAATCCCTTGAGCCTGGGAAGTCTACACTACAGTGAGCCAAGATTGTGCCACTGCACTCCAGCCTGGGCGACAGAGTGAGACCCTGTCTTAGAAAGAAAAAAGAAAAGAAAGTGTTAATCCCCCTATGGGAATCTCCTCTTCTCCTGCCCTCTCTGGAACCTCACTTGTCAGTTCTTCCTCCCACTTCCCTGTATCTTTAACCTATCCCCCACTTTTAGCTCCTTCCCATCATCATTTAAATTACTCAAACTTCTTCTGTTTTAAAAACCTCTCCCTAAACTCAGTGAGAGGTCTCCTGCACACCCATTGAGCCATCTGCTCTCCCTGGTGCCTTCTCTACAGCAGCCTGAGCCATGTCTCTAATCCATGAATCTCATCATGTTACTCCATTTACATCACTTCTCCTTGCCTCAGGGATTAAGTCCAAACTCCTTAACAGCCCCTGCTCTGCCCTGCCTTGCAAGGCAGCCTTACTGCTTGCCCCTCTCCATTTCATCTGCTATGAAGTCCAACTGAGCCTCATCTGCCCCTTCAACGCACACTCTTTCTCCTCTGGGAGTCTCTGAAGTGGGTAATATCCTCTGCTTATAATATGCTTCCCCTTAAACCTCTACTCTCTTCCTAGCTAGCTTTGACTCCTCTGTCACTTGTCTGCTTTGGCATCACCTCCTCATAGAAGACTTCTTTGACTCCTGAGATTCTCAGGAGCATGGCAGGTGAGGTGCTCCTCCCATGAATGGATGGAGATTAGGGAGTGTGTGTTATTCATGCTTAATTCACCAGTGCTTAGCTGAGTACCTGGCATAAAATAGTTACTGTGGTGGCCAAAATAATAACCCCCACTGCCAGCAATTGCTCATGTCCTATGTTACACAGCACAATTACATAGGAAGGGGGAATTAAGAGTGCAGATAAAATTAATGTTGCTCATCAGCTGACCTTAAAACAAGACTATCCTGGAGTATCTAGGAGAGCCCGTGTAATTACAAGCATTCTTTAAAACTGGAAGAGGGAGGCAGAAGGTTAAGAACCAGAGACGGTGGGCACAATGGCTCATGCCTGTAATACCAATACTTCGGGAGGCCAGGGCAGGAAAATCCCTTGAGTGCAGGAGTTCAAGGTCAGCCGTGGCAACATACTGAGGTCCCATCTCTACAACAAAATAAAAACAAAATTCACTGAGTGTCACGATGCTTACCTGTAGTCCCAGCTACTGGGAAGGCTGACATGGTAGGATTGCTTGAGCCTGGGAGTTTGAGGCTATAATGAACCATGATAGGACCACTGAACTCCATCCTGAGTGACAGGGCAAGGTCCTGTTTCTAAAGAAAAAAAGGACATTGGAATCAGGGTCCTCTCCATCCTGAGGTGCCTACAAGGCATCTCTCTCTGCAAACGAGTAAACATCACCCTCCAACTCCTTACAGAGTGGAGCAGCAGGAAAACTCCTTCACCTCATTTCTGTGCTGCTTGGGAGGCCTGGACAGCCCAATAACCAGGTCCTTGCTGATGAAGCAATCAGGAAATGGCTCGAGTTGAGCTAAGGAGAATTTGGATCCTTCTTTTGGTTCTCAATAGGCAGGGTAGGGGCCAGGCATGGTGGCTCATACCTGTAATCCTTGCACTGTGGGGGGCCAAGGTGAGAGGATTGCTTGAGGCCAGGAGCTCAAGACCAGCCTGGGCAACATAGCAAGACCTGGGTGGCATACAACTGTGGTCCCTACTACTTGGTAGGATGAGGTGGGAGGATTGATCACTTGATCCCAGGAGTTTCAGGCTGCAGTGACCCATGATCACACCACTGCACTTCAGCCTGGGTGACAGAGCCAGACCATGTCACAAAAAGAAAGAAAAAAAAAGAGAGAGAGGGAGAGAGACTATACACAGGCACCACCACATTTGGCTAATTTTTAAATATTCTGTAGAGACAAGGTCTTGCTAGGTTGCCCAGGCTAGTCTAAAACTCCTGGCATCAGGCTGGGCATGGTGGCTCATGCTTGTAATCCCAGCACTTTGGGAAGCTAAGGCAGGCAAATCACCTGAAGTCTGGAGTTCAAGACCAGCCTGGCCAACATGGTGAAACTCTGACTCTATCAAAAATACAAAAATTAGTTGGGCAGGAGTGGCATGTACCTGTAGTCTCACCTACTCGGGAGGCTGACGCAGGAGAATCACTTGAACCTGGGAGGTGGAGGATGCAGTGGACCCCATCACTGCACTCCACCCTGGGTGACAGAGCGAGACTCTGTCAAAAACAACAACAACAACAATAACAAAAACAAAAACAACAACAACAAAAAAAACTCCTGGCATCAAGACATCTTCCTGTCTTAGCCTCCCAATGCCCTGGGATTATACTGTTTCCTATAATTGAAGACACTTGTTCTTATACTGCTTTAAGGTATAAAGGAAGAAAAAAAAACAGATAATGGCAAATGTTGGTGGAGGCCGGGCATGGTGGCAGCCTGTAATTCCAGAACTTAGGGAGGCTGAGGTGGGCAGATCACTTGAGGCCAGGAGTATGAGACCAGCCTGGGCAACATGGTAAAATCCCATCACTACAGAAAAATATAAAAATTAGCCAGGCATGGTGGCATACACCTGTAATTTTCAGCTACTCAGAAGGCTGAGATGAGAGAATCACTTGTGCCTGGGAGGTCAAGGCTGCAGTGAACTGTGATGGCATCATTGCACTGCGGCCTGAGAGACAGAGCAAGCCCCTATCTAGAAAAAAAAAAATGTCAGTGAAGATGTGGAGGAATTGGAACCCACATACATTACTGGCGGGAACATAAAATCGTGTAACCATTTTGTTTGGGTATTTCTTTTCTTGTCATTTTAATTGGATTTTTAAAAAATCAAGACAGGGTTTCACTATCTTGCCCAGGCTGGTCTTGAATTCATGGGCTCAAGCCATCCTCCTAGCTGAGCCTCCTGAGTAGCTGGGATTACAGGTGTGAGCCATTGTACCCAACTGGTGTAGCCATGTTAGAAAACAGTCTGGCAGTTTCTCAAAAGGCTAAATGTACAGTCATCTTATAATGCAACAATTTCACTCCTAGGCATATATCCCAGAAAAATAAAAATATATGTCCACACAAAAACTTGTACAACAATCTTCATAGCAGCATTATTCATAATGACCAATACATGGAATACATGGAAACAACCCAAATATCCACCAACTGATGAACAGATAAACAAAATGCAGTGTGTCTCTACCATGGAATACTGCCATAGACGGAATGAAATATTGATACACACTATGACATAAAGGAACTTTGAAAACACTGTGCTAAGAGGGAAAAAAAGCCACAAAAGATCACATATTGTACAATTCTATTTGTCCAGATTAGGCAAATCTATAGTGACAAAAAATTAATCAATGGTTGCCTAAGGCTGGGGCGAAGGTAGGTGGGGAGAGTAGGAGGTAGTGGCTAAGGGGTATGGATTTCTCTATAGGGTAATGAAAGGTTCTAAAAGTGACTGTGGGTGATCGATGCACAGCTCTGTGAATATTCTAAAACCTACTGAATTGCAGATTTCAATAAATAAAGTGAATGGTATGTGAATATTTTAATAAAGCTATTATTTATAATAATAATAATAGGGGGCTGGGCACAGGTGGTCATGCCTGCCTGTAATCCCAGCACTTTGGGAGGCTGAGGCAGGAGGATCACTTGAGGTCAGGAGTTTTGAGCCCAGTCGGAGCAACGTGGCAAGATCCCGTCTCTATGATAAAAAATTAGCTGGACATGGTGGCACATGTCTGTAGTCCCAGCTACTTGGGAGACTCAAGTGAGAGAACCGCTTGAGCCCAGGAGTTTGAGGCTACAGTGAACCATGATCATGTCACTGTACTGTAGCCTGAGCAACAGAGCAAGACGCTGTCTCTGAAAAGGAAAGAAAACAAATGCAAGTTTTTATCACTTTGTGAGTGTAGCCAAGTTGGAGGAGAAATAGACAATAATAAAAGAGCACTGAATAATGACGGTGAGTGGCTGGTTAGGCTCAGTTGCTAGCTAAATGGCTTCTAAAAAATTCAATAAAGTTACAGCTCTGGGGACAGTCATGTAGTCAAAGAATGAACCCTAAATTCATTACAAATGCCCATGGTCTTTATTTACATGCCTTCTAGTGAAAAATTCCTAAGTGCCTAAATAGCAAGTCTGCAATGATAGCAGCTGTTTATTAAAGACTACAAAAAAGAAATGGAGGCCGGGCATGGTTGCTCACATCTGTACTCCTTGAGTTTTGGGAGGCTGAGGCAGGCAGATTGCCTGAGGTCAGGAGCTCCAGAGGAGCCTGGCCAACATGGTGAAACCCCATCTCTACTAAAAATACAAAAATTAGCTGGGTATGGTGGCGGGCGCCTGTAATCCCAGCTACTCGGGACGCTGAGGCAGGAGAATTGCTTGAACCCAGAAGGTGAAGGTTGCAGTGAGCCAAAATCGCACCATTGCACTCCAGCCTGGGTGACAAGAGAAAGACTCTTAGCTTAAAAAAAAAGAAAAAAAAGAAATGGCATCTTCTTCAAGAATTACATCGTGTTTCATGATAAAGAAACTCTAATTTTGCATTTGTTCAAGTATTGATGAGATTTAGCCAATATGACACCCATCTTGGATAAAATGCAAACAACACAATTTCATTTTCTCATTAACAAAACCGATTAAGTAGTCTAATATCAATTCTGATCTTATTAAAAACTGATCAGATTTAAAAAATTATGGAATTATGGAGCCAATAAGATGTTACAACCTGTTCCAAGGGGAATTCCAAAATCCACACATATCTGAGACCATCAAGTATGATGAAATATATTTGATTACTATATTGAAAAATAAACTGATTACATAGCCAACAATTGGACAGGGGTCTCCTCATCCACAGCCACACAAACCCGATCATGCAGCTATGTGGTTACAAGGCCTACATAGCCTAGAAGGGACTGGTCTGACTTGAGATTTCATTTGTATTTGTATTTTGAGACAGGGTCCCACTCTGTCACCCAGGATGGAGTGCAGTGGTATAATCATAGCTCACTGCAACCTCGACCAACTGGGCTCAAGAGATGCTCCTGCCTCAGCTGCCCCCATACCTGGGAATACAGGCAAGTACCACCATGTCAGGCATTTTTTTCATTTTTGTAGAGAGAGAAGTCTTGCTATGTTGCCCAAGCTGGCCTCAAACTCCTAGAATCAAGAGATCTGCCCATCTCAGCCACATGAGTAACTGGGGCCATAGGTACATACCATCATGCCTGGCTATATTTATTTTATTAAATTTATTTTTTTTTATTTTTGTAGAGACGAGGTCTTGCTGTGTTGCCCAGGCTGCTCTCAAACTCATGGCCTTAAAACATACTCCCATCTCTGCCTCTCAAACTGTTGGAACTACAGGTGTGAGCCACTGCACCTGGCCTGACTTGAGATTTCTTTTATCTAGCATCCTTTACTTGGTAGGATTGGGAAAGGCAGTAGTGTTTTTTAAAATTACTTAATAATTCAATCAGAATCAAAGTCAACCTTGACCACTGCCTTCTCTCACAGCTCACATCCAGTCTGTCAGGAAATCCTACTGACTGACTTCAACATGTATCCAGGCTCTGACCATCTCTCACCACCACCGTGAACCCAGTCAGGATCACTATAATCTCCCACCGGGATGTTGCCACAGCTTGGCCCCCATGCTTCTACCCAAATCTTCCCATAGTCTTTCTCAACTTGGCAGCCAGTTCGTGCTTTTAAATCAGGAGACAGATCACATCGCCTCTCTGCTCAGAAGCCCTCGGTGGTTCCCATTTTAGTCAGAGTAAAAGCCAAAGCCCCAGCAATAGCGTCCCAGGGCTTACACAATCTGTACCAATCCCAGCCCAGCAACTCCCTGGCCTCCTCGCTGACTTCACTCCCTCTATCTCTTTGCTCCACTGGCCTCCTTCCAGAGCCTCAGACACACCAGAGAGTTTCCTTCTAATGCCTTTATCCTGTTGACTCAGCCTACAATGCTCTTCCCTCAGCACCTTGGCCAGCTCCATCACCTGCTTCAAACTTTTGCTCAATATTCACTTATGAGGCCAACCCTGACCACTCTACTTAACACTGCCATCTGTCCCCATTCCTACCATGCTCATTTCTTTCTTTCTTTTTGAAACAAGGTCTTGCTTTATTGCCCAGGCTGGAGTACACTGGTGCAATCACAGCTCACAGCAACTTCAACCTCCCAGGCTTAAACAATCCTCCCGCCTCAGCCACCCTAGGAACTGAGACTACAGCTGCATGCCACAACACATGGCTTTTTTTTTTTTTTTGAGACGGAGTCTCGGTCGCCCAGGCTGAAGTGTAAGGGTGCCATCTTGGCTCACTGCAATGTCTGCCTTTTGGGTTCAAGTGATTCTCTGCCTCCCGAGTAGCTGGGATTACAGGCACCCACCACCACACCTGGCTAATGTTTGTATTTTTAGTAGAGATGGGGTTTCACCATCTTGGCTAGGCTGGTCTTGAACTTCTGACCTCGTGATCCACCCTCCTCGGCCTCCCAAAGTGCTGGGATTACAGGTGTGAGCCACTGCGCCTGGCCTTTTAAAAAAATTTTTTTTAGACATGAGGTCTCATTATGTTGCCCAGGCTGGTCTTAAGCTCCTGGGCTTAAGCAATCCTCCCACCTCAGCCTCCTAAAGTTCTGGGATTACAGGCGTGAGCAACTGTAACATGAGGTCCCAGCTTCATGTTCATTTTTTGTTGTTACTACAACAAAGTACCCTACATTCAGTGGCATCAAACACCACAAATCTACCATCTTACAGTTCTGGGGGCCAGAAGCCCAACTAGGTCTATTAAGGCTGAAGTCAAGGTGTCAGAGGGGCTGCATTCCTTCTGGGGGAGGCTCTAGACAGAATGTGCTCCTTTGCCTTTTCCAGCTTCTAGAAGCCACCCCCATTCCTTGACTTACCTCGTGACTCCATATTCAAGGCCAGAAGTGCAGCATCTTCAAATCTCCCTCTCTGACCTCTTCTTCCATTACCACATCACTTTCTCTAATTCTGACTCTCCTACCTCCTTCTCTTATAAAGATCCTTGTGATTGGTGGGTATGGGGGCTCCCATCTGTAATCCCAACATTTTGGGAGGCCAAAGAGGAAGGACTGCTTGAGGCCAAGAGTTAGAGATCAGCCTGGGGAAAATAGGAAGACCCTGCCTTTACAAAATTAAAATTAAAATCAGCTGGACATGGTGATGCATGCCTGTAGTTCCAGCTACTGGAGAGGCTAAGGTGGGAGGATTGCTTTAGCCTAGGAGGTCAAGGCTGCAGTGAGCTATGATCACATCACTGCACTCCAGCCTCAGTGGCAGAGTGAGACTGAAAAGAAATATACATTTGGTCTCTGCCCCTGGTTCCTGGCATAGAGCTTCCAAAGCTCTTATAAAGCCCTTCGTGACAGAGGTAATAGGAGCATTTTCTGTTTTGATATTTAGTCTTAGTCCCAGGTTCCTGACACAAGGGCCTCTAAGGTCTTCCAGAACTGCAGCATGGTAAGAATGCATGTGGGATGCTGTTGAGCTAACAGGGTGGCTGCAAGCTCCTAGACTGCTTCAGGAGGAGGGCTAGCTGCCAGAGAAAGCAACCACATTTTTCTTTTAAAATGGAGTTTGGGTCTTGTAGCCCAGGCTGGAGTGCAATGGCACAATCTCAGCTCACTACAACCTCCACCTCCCAGGTTCAAGCAATTCTCCTGCCTCAGCCTCCCGAGTAGCTGGAATTATAGGGATGTGCCACAACGCCTAGCTAATTGTTGTTATTTTTAGTAGAAACGGGGTTTCACCATGTTGGTCAGGCTGGTCTCAAACTCCTGACCTCAAGTGGTCCATGTGCCTCAGCCTTCCAAACTGCTAGGATTACAGGAGTGAGCCACCGCACCTGGCCCCAGCACATTTTTTGAGGCTTGGAACTTTCAGCCTCACCTGCTGAACTCCAGGAGGCAAAAGGAACTGGAGATTGACTTAACTACCAATGGCCAATGATTTTATCAATCATGCCTCCATAAAAACCCAAACAGCAGGGTTTGGAGAGCTTCTGTGTTGCTAAACACAAGGAGGTCCTGGGAGGGTAGTGTGCCCAACAGAGGGCATGGAAGCTCTGTGCCCCTCCCCACTTACCTTGTCCTGTGCATCTCTTTCATTGGCTGTTCCTGAGATGGAGCCATTACATTGAGCCAGTAATAGAAAATACGGTGGCCAGATGCGCTGGCTCATGCCCATAATCCCAGCACTTTGGGAGGCAGAGGTGGGCAGAATCACTTGAGCCTAGGAATTTGAGACCAGCCTGGTCAACATAAGAAGACCCCATCTATACAAAAAATAAAAGAAATTAGCCAAATGTGGTGGTGGGAACCCTGTAATTCCAGCTACTTGAGAGGCTGAAGCAGGAGAATCACTTGAGCCCTGGAGGTTGAGGCTTCAATGAGCTATGATTGCACCACTGCACACCAGCCTGGACAACAGAGCGAGGCCCTGTCTCTTAAAAAGAAAAGAAAAAAACCTGTTTTTCTAAGTTCCGTGAGTTGTTCTAGTAAATAATTAAACTCAAGAAGAGGGTCATGGGAAACCCTGATTTCTAACTGGTTGGTCAAAATACAGGTGACAACCTAGGACTTGCAACTGGCATCTGAAGTGAGGGTGGTCTTGTGGGACTGAGCCCCTAACCTGTGGGTTCTGCGCTAACTCTAGGTAGTGTCAGAATGGAATTGTGGGATACGCGGTTGGTATCCAGAGAGTTGGAGAACTGGTGTAGAAACTCTGCACACACATTTGGTCAGAAGCCTGTGAGTAGAGAAAAACGTGTTGCGGGAAGTCAGGGACCCCAAACGGAGGGACCGGCTGAAGCCACGGCAGAAGAACATAAATTGTGAAGATTTCATGGACATTTATTAGTTCCCCAAATTAATACTTCTATAATTTCTTAGGCCTGTCTTTACTGCAATCTCTGAACATAAATTGTGAAGATTTCATGGACACTTATCACTTCCCCAATCAATACCCTTGTGATTTCCTATGCCTGTCTTACTTTAATTTCTTAATCTGGTCATCTTCGTAAGCTGAGGATGAATGTCCCCGCAGGACTCTGTGATAATTGCGTTAACTGCACAAGTTGTTTAAACAATATGAAACCTGGGCACCTTGAATAAAGAACAGGATAACAGCAATTTCAGGGAACAAGGGAGATAACCTTAAACTTTGGCTGCCTGTGGGCCGAGTAGAACAGAGCCATATTTCTCTTCTTTCAAAAGCAAATAGGAGAAATATTGCTGAATTCTTTTTCTCAGCAAAGAACATCCCTGAGAAAGAGAATGCATCCCTAAGGGGAGGCCTCTGAAATGGCCGCTTTGGGGACGGCTGTCTTTTACAGTCGTAGATAAGGGATGAAATAAGCCCTGGGCTTGCGTGGCACTCCCAGGCTTATCAGGACAAGGAAATTCCCGCCTAATAAATTTTGGTCAGATGGGTTTTCTGCTCTCAAACCCTTTCTCCTAAGATGTTACCAATGACAATGCGTGCCCGAAACTTCATTAGCAATTTTAATTTCGCCCCGGTCCTGTGGTCCTGTGATCTTGCCCTGCCTCCATTTGCCTTGTGATATTTTATTACCTTGTGAAGCAAGTGATCTCTGTGACCCACACCCTATTCGTACACTCCCTCCCCTTTTGAAAATCACTAATAAAAACTTGTTGGTTTTGCAGCTTGCGGGGCATCACGGAACCTGCCGACATGTGATGTCTCCCCTGGACACCCAGCTTTAAAATTTCTCTCTTTTGTACTCTTTCCCTTTATTTCTCAGATCGGCCGACACTCAGGGAAAACAGAAAAGAACCTACATGAAATATCAGGGGTGAATTTCCCCCGATATCACACGGGCTCTTCTCTCACCTGTCTAACTGCTTAACTGCATAGGAGAGGCAATGCATGGTGCTCATGAACAAGGCAAGCATTAAAGTCAGACCAGACTAACATTTGATTCAGTCTTAATATTCAGGTGAGCTTGGGCAAATCACTCATTAACCCCAAGTCTTCATCATTTTGTGCATATAATGGGGATAACTGTGGCACCCACCTGTTTTTGTGAGAATCAATGAAATATTATGCTTGATGTTACTGTGATCATGATACTATCTGACAAGGGCAGTGATGCATGATAACATCAAAAAATTAGAAACTGTAATGAGGTCTCTTGGGCAAAATTCCATACAAGTAAATTACTGTCTCTACAAAGCATTTCTGCTACACTTAATTCACCATTCCCTGAACAAAATGTGCCATCTTCATTGTTCAGGTCTGTATAGTGCTGGTTTCCCTGCCTGGGCAGCTCACTCCATCCCATCCCAGCCCAATCCCCATCCCTCCACCTCCCCCTTCCCTCCCCACTCTCATACAATTCTTCCTTATCTTACAGGACTTGGCTTCAATGTCACCTTAACTGGAAGCTTCTCTCCCTCTCCAGAAGAGCTTCCCATTGCACTTGATGCATGCACTATTATTTGATCATTTTTGAGTTACAGTCCAAGTCTTTTTGTACCTGAATAACATGTTGCCCAGTCAGTTTCTCTTCCTGGATTCAGAAGTCTTTCATGGTAGGTCCAGCTAGAAGTGACAAAAAGACATTTAAAAAAAAAAAAAAAAGAGGGATGACACAGACAGACATCAGCACTTAAAAGTTTTAAACGATATGTGAAAAACAAAATTTAAGGGCTTCTAGGAGAAATGTAGGAGGGAAGGTGTTACTGGGAAATATGATAGAAGGTTAATTTTTATTTTATTTTTAGAGAAAGGGTCTTGCTCCATCACCTAAGCTGGACTGCAGTGGTGCAATCACAGTTAACTGCAACCTCAACCTCCAGGGCTTGAGCAATATTCCCATCTAATTTTTATTTTGTTTAAGAAATGCAGTCTTGCTCTTAGCAAAGCTAAAGTGCAATGGTGTGATCATAGCTTACTGCAGCCTCAACCTTCTAGACTCAAGTGATCCTCCAGTCTTAGCCTCCCCAGTAGCTGGGACTACAGGTGTGCACTGCAACGTGTAGCTCATTTTTTTTTTTAATTTTTAGTAGAGACAAAGTGTCACTATGTTGACCAGGTTGGTGGTGATCTCCTATACTCAGGCAGTTCTCTCACCTCAGCCTTCCAAAATGCTGGGATTACAGGTGTGAGCTGCCACACCTGGCTGAGGGGGTTAATTTTTAATTATATAAAGAGCTCAAAGCAAATATTAGAAGGAGCCTAAATGCCTCCAGCAGTTGACTGGTACTGGTAAATTGTGATACATCCATATAATAAAATATTATGCAACCATGAAAAGGATTAAGATAGATCAATTGGTATTGGCACAAATGTCCACGAAATATGAAAATATGAAGTGATGTTCAATCACCATGTACGTATCTTGAAGGATATGGCCCATTTTCTCAATTGCAATTATTTCCTGAGATAAGATTATGGGTCTAAAGAGTGAAGGACATTTTTCACTTATTTAAAAGTATTTATTATTTTTATAATTTAATAAAAGATTAAACAGATCATTGAATTAGTAAAAGACAAAGTAACTCTATAAATAAATGGAAAAGACACAGATACCCCAGGCATGGTGGCTCATGCTTATAATACCAGTACTTTGGGAGGGGGTGGTGGGGGGATTGCTTGAGGCCAGGAGTTCCAGACCAGCCTAAGAAACAAAGCAAGACCTCCTCTCTAGTAAAAATAAAAAAATAAAAATAATTGGCCAGGCATAGTGGCATGTGCCTATAGTCCCAACTACTGAGGTGGAAGGATCACCTGAGCCTAGGAGGTCAAGGCTGCAGTGAGTTGAGACTGTGCCACTACACTGAAGCCTAGGAGACAGAGCGATACTTCATCTCAAAAAAAAAAAAAAAAAAAAAAAGGACAATAAAGAAATAAAGCTAATAAGCTAACATAAGGAAAGATAAAATATGTGACAAATAGGCTGGGCACATGGCTCACAGCTGTAATCAAGCACTTTGGGAGGCCAAGGCGGGTAGATCACGAGGTCAGGAGTTCGAGACCAGCCTGATCAACATGGTGAAACCACATTTCTACTGAAAATACAAAAATTAGCCAGGCATGGTGGCATGTGCCTGTAATCCCAGCTACTCAGGAGGCTGAGGCAGGAGAATCACTTGAACCTGGGAGGCACAGGTTGCAGTGAACTGAGATCACACCACTGCACTCCAGCCTGGTCGACAGAGCGAGACTGCATCTCAAAAAAGAAAAAAGAATGGGTGACAAAGTAATAATATGAGGTCTTTCATTTATCACACAGAAAATAACTTGTTAAATTATAATACCTGTGTGGGCGAAGGTGCAGTGAAATGGCCATTTTCTTGTAGTATTAGTGGTGTTTAAAATGTATATAAGCCTTCCAGCATAAAGCTTGGAAATTTTTTTTAAATCATACAGACAGTGACTGCCTCCTCCAACTCCTGGCCTCAAGCAATCCTCCCACCTCAGCCTCCCAAAGTGCTGGAATTACAGGCTGACAGCCACCATGCCTGAAAGCTTTGCAATTTACATCAAGGGTAATAAGAATGTTCATGCCCTGTGACTCACAGTAATCTCACTTCTGGAAATTTCATCTTTGGATACAATTCAACCTAAACAAAAGGTCATATGCACAAACACAGTGAAAATCTGGGAGTAATTTTTTTCTCTTTTTTTAAAAAAATATGGAATGCTTCACAAATTTGCATGTCATTCTTTCACAGAGGCCGTGCCAATCTCTCTATTGTTCCAACTTAAGTATGTGTGCTACTGAGGCAAGCATGAGTAATTTAAAATAGAGTGGTTAAGTGAAATAAGGAAGAATTATGGAGAATTTAAAAATCTATGCTATTTATAGGCACCTAGTAACAGCTCAGTAAATATTAGCTGCTACTATTATTATTTTTATGGTAATTTCACTCAATTAAAAACTGTCATTAAAAATTACCATTGTCATGGAACATAATGTCTCCTACTGTATAATTGTAAAAACAGATACAATTTGTCCCTTGGTATATGGGGGGATTAGTTCCAGCTCTCCCATTTCTGTGTATACCAAAATCCACGCATACTCAAGTTTTCGAAGTCAGTCCCGTGGAATCCACATATAACACAAATGGGAAAATTAGTGAGGTGTGGTGACAAGCACCTGTAGTCCCAGCTACTTGTGAGGCTGAGGCAGGAGGATTGCTTGAGCCCAGGAGGTTGAGGCTGCAGTGAGCCATAATTGCACCACTGCACTCCAGTCTGGGCAACAGAGTGAGACAGAAGGTTGACTTTTTAATAGAATTTTTCTGTTCACTTGAAGATATGGTCAGGATTGTGGCATATGAAAATTCTTCATAAAATAACTAATCCAATTAATGCTGGAATTGGGAACAGCAGAAGTGTCATCTCAGAGCTACTCACAATGAAAGGTGATGTCTGGGGCTCAGGTGTGTTGAGATCCCCATGCCTGGACTATGGGTGCTGAGTGGGATTTACTTGTCCATCCATTTTCTATATTCCAGCACTGGGAAACTAGGGTTTATCCATCTTGATGTCATTTAAATTCCACTTCACAAGAACCACAAATGGAAGAAAGGCCATGAAACCGCAGGACAGTACTTGTTCTCAAGGGAATCTTCAGCTTAGGTGGCTCTGTAAAAGAGAAATTACATTGTTGAAAAATCGTCGCAGGTCAGGTGAGGTGGCTCATACCTATAATCCCAGCCCACGGGGAGACTAAGGCAGGAGGATTCCGTGAGGCCAGGAGTTCAAGACCAGCCTGAGCAACACAGTGAAACCTCATCTCTACAAAAAATTAGAAAATGAACTGGGTGCGGTAAAACATTCGTATAGTCCCAGCTCCTCTGGAGGCTGAAATATGAGGATCACTTGAGCCCAGGAAGTGGAAGCTGCAGTGAGCTCTGATCTCACCACTGCACTCCAGCCTGGGTGACAGAGTGAGACCCTGTCTCAAGACACACACACACACACACACACACACACACACACACACACAATCTCAGTCTGTCCAGCCTTGACTAATCAAAAGGGCCTTCTGGTTACAGAAGAGGTATACTCTTTTGTAGGACAGGGAGAGACCAGCAAGCTTGTTCATAGACTTTTCCTCATCCTCTGCTTAGTTTTCCAAGAACCCTCACAGTGGAAATGGAGTCTCTGGGAAAATGACCTAAATCTTTGGGTTACCAGGGGAAAAATATGCCTCCTTTGTCAATTAATAAATGGAACATCTGCCTTAAAATCCAGGGAGTTCTGCTAGAATGAATCACTCCCTAAGACCCTGACCTACGCATGGAACATGAAAAACTGAAGTTTAACTGGGTGCGGTGGATCACACCTGTAATCCCAGCACTTTGGGAGGCTGAGGCGGGCAGATCACCTGAGGTCAAAAGTTCTAGATCAGCCTGGCCAACATGGTGAAACCCCATCTCTACTAAAAATACAAAAATTAGTTGGGCATGGTAGTGGACACCTGTAATCCCAGCTACTCGGGAGGCTGAGGCAGGAAAATGGCTTGAACCCGGAAGGCAGAGGTTGCAGTTACTTCCAGAAGAATTTCCATTAGCCCTTTGGAATTCTTCAACATTCATAAAGGCCAAAGAGTTTTCACCTAATTTAATCTGATGGGTATGTGACCAGAGTCTTTCTAGGGAATAGAGACTCCCAAACAGTTCAACTGGGAAGTGAGGAGAGAATTTATTACTCAAAATCAAAGGGAAATGAAAAGAGGCCAACATAGAATGTCATTATTCTTTCTTGGCGGGGAATGGATTCCAGAGTCATTCTGTGACCTTTACATGACCTCCTTATTAGCATCTAAAAGCTTCCAGTGTAGGATGCAGCCAGCTAGGTTCTCTTCTAATGTAATAAAATTTGCTTCAGCAAATCTTATGCAGAGCCATCTCCAGGCTCCAGAAACAATAGGCTATAAATTACTGGATCTCCCATTTGATACAATGAAGTATAAGCACAGTCCTGAATGACTCCTCTACATACTACTCTGGGTGGCTTGAAGTGAATTTGATACAAGAACTGGAGCGAGTGCAAAGCATAGCTAGATCTAGGATTAATGTGCTTGGGCCCAGCTCCTCACTACTCACCTATGAGTCTAGTTCCAGAACCCAAGTAGAGGATGGGGAAACAAGGCTCCTGACTTTTTTTCCCTAATGTCTGCATCTCTTTCACATTTCTTATCTCCTTGCAAAGAAACTAAACAGGCTCAACTGAAATAACTAAATGATTAAATCCTATACAGAGAATCTCCAAAGACTGACAAAATATCATTCAAGACCGTTACACAGACAACCTTGAGGATGACTTGATGTACCAGTGATCTACAATATTTGGGATCATTCCAAATTCCCATCAAGGATCTGCCTATATCAACAAAGGAGCCAAGGACCAACCATTCAAATGGGCCCTGCTGCCAAGCCTTTTTTTTTTTTTACAATGCCATCTCTTCATATTGTTCCATTTAACAAAACTGCAGCCCTTCATCTATCCTTAAGCCCCTTGGCCAATGGTACAGAGCCAGAGTATGCTACTCCCTAGCAAGAAATCAACAGGATGACCTACTAAACACCATTCAGAAGATGCTAAGACCCATGAATTACAACAGGAAAGAAAAGACAGAGAATTAGTCAGATAGGTACATGCTGTGCCAAAAATGCACTACAGCCCCCACCCAATTCTGCCTAATCCTAGCTGGGCTGACACCAACCTGATGAGACAGGACTATAAGATCTCAAACTAAAACAGAAACTCCTGAACTGGATTCTTTCGAGCCCAGGAAGCAGCAGTAAATCATTAAAGAACAGATACGTTCTTAAGGTGAGGGACAGTTTCAGATAAATGGAATGCTGGTAGAACACAGGGCCCAAAGGAGCAAAAGTTAACGTAAGCCCAGGTAGAACCTTATTTACTAGAGTATTAGGCATGGGTTGGGGCAACTATTCTAACCTGAGAAACTGGCTTCAGTGAGGGCAAGTTGGCAATCCAAGGTATAGCATGCATAGGGCTGGCAAAATTCAGGGTGACTGAAGCAAAAGCTTCAGAACCAGAAAGACCACATCTGAGGGTAGAGCACAAAACTCTCAAGAGATGAATCTTTGTAAGAGTGAGGCAGAACTACATAGCAGTTTTAGGAGATCTGTTGGTGCCCAGCAAGAGCTCCAAACGGGCTATATGCAGGGATGCAGGCTGTAGTCTCAGGAGAGGAGGTTCACAAAAGTCATTCAGTCCAAGACCTCAAACTGTGTTCTCTACTAAAAGGAATCAAGGTTCCCTAGAGAAATGGCTGACTCCATGTATGGTGCAGTATATTGATCCTGGAACATCTTTTTTGCCAGAAAGCAAGGAAGCCATCAAAGTCCAACAGGATCCCGTCAAAAAGACATGAAAGTCAACTTGAAGAGATAATTATTAACCTAGATGAGACAATGAAAGCATCCAAAACAATAAAGACTGTAATGGCCTGAAATACATCAAATGCAAACAATAATCTATGAGTTCATAATGGTATTCAGAAAAAAAACTACTGGTCATTAGAGGGAAGGTTACTAGGTCACTAACTTACTACTCTGAAAAGTGACTTAAGATGAGAGGTAGGGTGGAGAATTAGCTATTTATTCAGTCTTTCCTGTACAAACATAAATTTTTAGGGAGATTGAAGCAGACAAAACAAATCTGGAAAAATGGAGGTAACTGCTTAATCTGCGGGTTGGGTGCATGGAGGTTCAACATATTTCTTTTGTGTATATTTGAACCCCCTACAAAAAAAGCACAAGACAGAATGTGAGCCAAGCAGCTTAGGGTTTAGGCAAGGCTTCTGCCTACAAGAGACACTAGGATATGAGGGGTAGTTTTAGCCCTGATGGGCTGAGCCAACTGGAGGTATATAGGGAGGTGCTAAATTGCAGAGGTATCATGTTGCCCAGCACTTGATCAAATCCTAGATCCTAGGTCTGCTTGGTAGCATGCTTCCTAGGTAGTGGATCTGAGGCTACCTATAGAACTTCCTTTGCAGTCATAATTCACTCAGAAACTACAAAAGTGCTTGCTCTTGAAAACGGAGTCTTTGTCCATTTCATGCTTCTATAAAAGAATACCACAGACTGCATAATTTATAAAAAGGAAAAAAGGAAGGAAAGAAAAAAGGAAGGAAGGAGGGAAGGAGGGAAAGACGGAAGGAGGGAAGGAAAGGAAGGAAGGGAAAGAAGGAAAGGAAGGAAGGGAAAGAGAGAAAGAGGGAAGGAGGAACGGAGGGAAGGAGGGAGGGAGGGAGGGAGAGAGAGAGGGAGGAAGGGGAAGGGAAGAAAAGGGAGAAGGGAAAGGAGGAAGAAAAGGAAAGGAAAGGAATAAATTTTATTTCTTAACAGTTCTGGATGTTAGGAAGTCCAAGGTTGAGGGGCCTGCATCTGGTAAGGGTCTTCTTGCTGCATCATCCCACTACAGAAGGCAGAAGGAAAAGAGAGTGCAAGAAAGCAAGAGGGCAAAAGGGGCTGAACTCTGTTTTATAATAAGCCCACTCTGTGATTACTAATCTATTACCACAATAACAACATTAACTCATTCATGAAGGCTATTTTATTAGGCCCCACATCCCAACTGTTGCATTGAGGATTGAGTTTCCAGCACATAAACTTTGGGGGACACATTTAAACCATAGCAGAGCACTTAGGTTAATTCAACTAAGAGGAGCTGGGAAAATCAAAGGCATGAGAAAGACAGCAAAAGCTAGCAGAGAGAAATGCATAGGTTAAGGAAAAAAGTCACAGTGAATCCTGTAGTGCAGGCTACTTTATCAAAAGCACCTAAAAAAGATCTCATTAACTCCCCCAGCTCACCTCCACCCACATCTAAAGAGCCACACACAGCACCACCAAAGGCAGCACAATGAGAACAGCATTCTCCTCAACAGACAAGCTGGGAGTATCTAGACACCTGACCTCTATAGCTCCAGAACAGCCCTAAAACAGTTCCTCCCTAAGCACCACTCAAGTCACCAGCTTGGAAAGTATTAAGAAAACCCAAATCCTGACACACCACTATGAAACAACTTAAAACAGCAAAGAACAACCCATTTAAACAGCAATGCCAGCTGCTGGGAAAAAATAGAACAATGAGTAGAGGAGAAACAGGCCTCTTGGGGTCCACCAAGACCCAGTCTCTCAGCTCCAGCACTTTCAAATGCAGAATCCATACCCCTCTGGGGCCTGTGGAGCTCCACAAGGCATGTCGTTCTCAAAGATAAATGAGCAGGCAAGCTGGCTAGAAAACCACTAAGGGTATTATTCTTTAAAGAATCTTTATAGGGTCAAAGAGGAATGGGTCTTAACTGGCTATGTGAACTCCCCACAGATTCTGAGGATGATGTCAGTATCCCTTTCCAGATGTGTTTAACACTTTGCAGTCACTTGTATTCCTGCCACTGAGTGCCAGTGCTTTGCTAATTTGCTCACGCTGACCCCAGCTCCCTGGATGTTACCATTAGCCAAGACTGTCACCCATACTGTACCCTTTCAAAGAGTCCTAAAAACAGCTCTTCACCTACTCTTCCAAGACAAGTAAAAATGTCTGCCAAAGAAATGGGGAAAAAAGATTCAGAGAGTGAAAACAATTAATATACTAAGAGAGCAAAAAGCAAAGGGGGAGGAGAAACTAGGAAAATCATATATGGGCTCACACCTATTTCCAAAGCTGGGCTAATGTCCTTTTGCCTGTGTCTGAATAAGGCACCAATTTTAAGCTGCTAATGAAAAAAAAAAGAAAAAGAGAAAGAAGCAGGCCCAGGCTGGGCGCAGTGGCTCATGCCTGTAATCCCAGCACTTTGGGAGGCCGAGGCGGGTGGATCACCCAAGGTCAGGAGTTCTAGACCAGCCTGGTCAACATGGTGAAACACCATCTCTACTAAAAATACAAAAAATTAGCCAGGCATGGTGGCACATGCCTGTAAATCCAGCTACTCAGGAGGCTGAGGCAGAATTGCTTGAACCTGGAAGGCAGAGAATGTGGTGACCTGAAATCACGCCATTGCCCTCAAGCCACGGCAATGAGAAAAAAATTCAGTAAAAACAAAACAAAACAAAACCACCATAAAATAACTCAGACTTAATTAAATACAACCCTAGTGGTGAATGACTAAAGATGGATTACTCATAACAGAGATAACAGTCCAATAAGAATCCAGGAATCTTACCTTTTAATAACAAAAAAATCCTTTCCTTCGAAAGTAACATCCTCTCAAGGCCAGGAATTCCATTAGTAGAAAGCCTTCCTAAAAAACAAAATTCCTGGCCAGGCATGGGTTCACATCTGTAATCTCAGCACTCTTGGAGGCCGAGGTGGGAAGATCACTTGATGTCAGGAGTCGAGGCGGGAAGATCACTTGACGTCAGGAGTTCGAGACTGGCCCGGCCAACATGGTGAAACCCCATCTCCACTAAAAATACAAAAATTAGCCTGGTGTGGTGGTGGGCACCTGTAATCCCAGCAACTTGGGAGGCTAAGGCAAGAGAATTTCTTGAACCCAGGAGGCAGAGGTTGCAGTGACCAGCAAGGTTGCGCCATTGCACCCCAGCCTGGGCGATAAGAGTGAAAACTCCATCTCAAAAAAAAAAAAAAAATTCCTTTGGGAAGGCCTTCTACATAAAAATCTTCAACATGAGACTGGACAAAAGGGTATGGGATCATCACTGGACCTTTGGCTTTTACAGCTCGAGCTATAAGAACAAAAAGAAAAAGGGATATCAATTAAACACAGTATGTAGAAAAGAATAATTATTGAATCTGTACTGGTCTTTAACTTTTACACTTTGATCTTTAATTCTGTTATTGTGATTGAGTCCAAAGAAAAATAGTATGAGTAAAATAAAAAGAACACCAAAAATGCTAATATTCTGTTTACCAAAGTCTGTAGTGAAATATTCCATTAAATCCAAGTGCAGTGACACACCCATAATCCCAGCACTTTGGGAGGCTGAGGCGGGTGAATCTCCTGAAGTCAGGAGTTCAAGGCCAGCCTGGCCAACATGGTGAAACCCCAACTCTACTACAAATACAAAAATTAGGCAGGCATGGTGGCAGAGGCCTGTAATCCCAGCTACTTAGGATGCTGAGGCAGGGAGAATTGCTTGAACCCAGGAGGTGAGCTTGCCATGAGCTGAGATCATACCACTGCACTCCAGCGGGGGCGACAGAACAAAACTTCAACCTCCAAAAAAAAAACAGCTAGCAGGTGACATTTGCTATGGGGAGACTAGGGATATGATCTTGCTGCAATCCTTCCATTTTAGTAAATCTAAACAGTGTGAATCCATTCTGTTTCGTCCCCACTCCACTCCAGAGCCAAAACAAGAAAATCAATTATATTTCTAGTTCTTTAAAAACATGTCTAACTAAATCATCTAATTAAAAGATAATATGCATGGTTCCATACTCTAAAAGAAAACTTATGTCCTGCATATCATGGACATTTGATGAATGCTTATTCAGTTGACTGGTGTAGACTTCAATAACAACCGGTTCAATGCATTATGCCGGATGAATCTTGCATCTCAAAAGTAGAACAAATATTGTTCTTTCAGTTTTGTCTACCCATAAATGCAATATTTACTAATAAAAAGAAAATAAGTTTATTGTTCTAGAGAGTATGAGAATTTTGACAACATGAATTCTCCTGTCCTAGGACATAATTAATACTTAGAGGCATACTATTTCATGTGGAAGCTACCATTAAATCAATGTTAAGTGTTAATTACCTCACATAATCTTCTAATCTGACTTAAGACTGAAGACTTACCTCACAAAGTTGATTTATCAAGTTGTAAATCTTTACCTGTTGAATTCATAAGTTCATGTCTGAAAGGTGAGAATAAATACTTAATATTCACTAGGCAATATTCAGCAAAGTAATATCCACTAGTACATATTTAATATTTCATCATGAACTGCGGGTGTGAAAAGACAGGCTGGGCACAGTGGCTCACACCTGTAATCCCAGCAGTTTGGGAGGCCGAGGCAGGCAGATCATGAGGTCAGGAGTTCGAGACCAGCCTGGCCAACATGGTAAAACCCCGTCTGTACTAAAAGTACAATAATTAGCTGGGCATGGTGGCAGGCACCTGTAATCCCAGCTACTCGGGAGGCTGAGGCAGGAGAATTGCCTGAACCCAGGAGGTGGAGGTTGCAGAAACCATGATCACGCCACTGCATTCCAGCCTGGGCAAGAGAGCAAGATTCTGTCTCAATCAATCAATCAATAAAAATATAAGGAGGAAGCATTTACTGTGTATTTATATGTCTGGAATTATGTGAAGCACTTTACTATCTTATCAAATCTTTGGGACAGATCTTCAGTTCTCATGACCACAAAAGAGGATACTAAAGCTCAGACAGGAGAAGAGACGTGGCCAGCCTGTGTCCCCAGGGCCTATGGTCTTACCACTAGGTTACAGTGTTTCCAGATATCACATGTTGTGAGATTTTTGCTTTAAAATGAACCAAAAAAAACGAAAGGCGAAAAAGGCATAAGCTATTAAAAAGTGGGAGAAACACTAAGAGAACCTTAAGCATGTAACTAAAAATATTATGGAAATGTTATTGAATTCATTAGCAAATTTAGTGCTAGGTTTTCATTGAGGAGTAGGTTATATTACTCATGATGAAGAAAAATGTTCATTTTAAGTATATTAACATAAATACCATCAATATTGTTTATCATGTTTAAATGTTCACTTAAAGCAATTCAGTTAAAATTCTGCATACCATACAATTTTATAGTTTGCTAGTAGGTTACAAGTAAATAGTCACCCAAATAAAAACATCATGTGTTTTCCACTGGTTGTTGCTCTTTTTAGGTGAGCATCTGATGTATACCAACAGAGAGAGGATAATAACAAATCGCTAATTTCTTTCATCACTATATAAAGGTGGCTTCAGGATAGAATAGTATCAGGGCAATGATGAATTTGAAATCTAACATCAATTCAGTGATGCATCAAGATAAAAGTAGAGACAATAGGGGCACCTTGGTGAGTACTGAACATTTTATTTATTTATTTATTTTGAGATGGAGTTTTGCTCTTTTTGCCCAGGCTAGAGTGCAATGGTGCAACCTCGGCTCACCACAACCTCTGCCTCCTGGGTTCAAGCAATTCTCCTGCCTTGGCCTCCCAAATAGCTGGGATTACAGACATGCACCACCACACCCGTCTAATTTTGTATTTTTAGTAGAGACGGGGTTTCTCCATGTTGGTCAGGCTGGTCTCGAACTCCCGACCTAGATATCTGCCTGCCTTGGCCTCCCAAAGTGCTGGGATTACAGGTGTGAGCCACTGCGCCCAGATGAATTCCAAATTTAACAAAGCAGACTAAGAGAAACAATTCATTTAAAAAAATAATATTTGGCCAGGCATGGCGGCTCACACCTGTAATCCCAGCACTGTGGGAGGCTGAGGTGAGTGGATCAGGAGGTCAGCAGTTCAAGACCAGCCTAGCCAAGATCATGAAACTCCGTCTCTACTAAAAATACAAAAATCAGCCAGGCGTGGTGGCTGGTGCCTGTAATCCTAGCTGCTTGGGAGGCTGAGGCAGAGAACTGCTTGAACCCAGGAGGCGGAGGTTGCAGTGAGCCGAGATCGTGCCACTGCACTCCAGCCTGGGCGACAGAGTGAGGCTCCGTCTCAAAAAAAATAAATAAATAATTCAATGAAATCCCTAAGATCCAGGGCTTTGCAATAAATATGTAAATAAATTTCCAATCTCCATACTGAAAGTTTAAAAGAAATGCTAACTAATAACTAAAGAAATATAACTTTTCCTCAGCTTTGCAGCAATCTAGAAACAAAGTGTGTAGACACTACAAAGCACCTTACAAGGAGAAACGTGTAAGGATAGCATGACTCGCCGGCAGCCCTGGGCTTGTCCACGGTACCCCCATGATGAACAGTAACTCCATTGTGTAAACGCCCATGAACATAAGATTACAGGACTTTTCCAGTTTAGACATACCATATTTTCTTTCAGACAATTCTTCAATTTGTTTACGCAGATCAGCGATACGATGATTCCATTTCTCTGAAAATCAAGCAAAAGTTGCTTCTCAATAATACGTCCCTATGTCAGAGCAGCACTAACGTATAATGAATTATTTCATATATTTTACATTCTAACAGTCCATATCATTTTACTGCTTTCAAGAAAAAATTTCCCCTTTTTGGTGGTTCTTAGAATTGGTTTAATGGGAGACTATTAGAGAAGCTGAAAAGCAGGAGGGCAGAAAAGTTCAATCAAATTAAACACAATAACAGGGAGGTCACAATGAGGCGGTCTCCAGGGGTCTTTTAGCAAACTTCCTAAAACATGTCTCAGCTGTGTGAAATAAGACTTTACAGCAGCCGGGTGCAGTGGTGCAGGCCTGTAATCCCAGCACTTCGGCAGCAGAGGCAGGTGGATCGCTTTTAGCTCAGGGCAACATAGCCAAAACCCCCCTCCCTAGCCCCACCCCCACCCCTTCCCTACCAAAAATACAAAACAGCAGGGCATGGTGGCGGGCGCCTGTAGTCCCAGCTACTCAGGAGGCTGAGGCAGGAGAATCACCTGAACCCAGGAGGCAGACATTGCAGTGAACCAAGATCACGCCACTGCCAGCCTGGATGACAGAGCAAGACTCCACCTCAAAAAAACAAAAACAAAAACACAAGGTTAAGAGGGACCCCCGACCTTACAGATACAAGTTTAAGAAGGATCCCTAAGCAAAAAATGCCAACCCTTTTTCTCCCAATCATTGAAACACCAGGAGGGTGTAACAGTTTTGCAGCCTAGCTGTAGCAGGCTGATGCCCCCAAGATGCCCATATCCTAATCCCGGGAACTGGTGAACATGACTTTATATGGCAAAAGGGGCTTTGCAGATATAATGAAGTTAAAGGGTCTTTGGCTTTTGCGGTTGATGTACTCACTCGGATCCTTATAAGAGCAGAGCAGGTGATGGAGAGGGTGGGAGGTGTAGTGACAGAAGCAGGAAACTCCAGTCATTCGAGACGGGCAGCACAAGCTGAGGAGTGCAGGCCACCTCTACGGCCAGGAAACGGATTCTCCCGCAGAGCCTCGGAAGCCACCGACCCTGCTCCCACCTTGACTCAGTAGGACTTACTGTAGAATTCTGGCCTTCAGACCTGTAAAGGAATACATTTTGGTTGTTTTAAGTCACTAAGTGTGTGGTAATTTGTTGCAGCAGCCACAGGAAACTAGTATTGTAGTGAAGCCTCAAAACACCCCTGAAGGGGCTGGGCTCAGTGGCTCATGCCTGTAATCCCAGCACTTTGGGAGGCCGAGGTGGGTGGATCACTTGAGGTCAGCAGTTCGAGACCAGCCCAGCCAACATGGTGAAATGCCATCTATACAAAAAATACAAAAACTAGCCGGGCATGGTGGCACATGCCTGTAATCTCAGCTACTCAGGAGGCTGAGACAGGAGAATTGTTTGAACCCAGGGGGGCGGAGGTTGCAGTGAACTGAGATTCCACCACTGCACTCCAGCCTGGGTGACAGAGCAACGCTCCATCTCGAAAACAAAACAAAACAAAAAAACCCCATCTGAAGCTTTCCAGTTCTGCCAGCAGTCTCCCACCCAACCCCCAGAAGCAGACATTCCATTGCTGTGGGCCATGGACAGGCAGAAGGAAGCACCTCCTCATGGCAGAGGCCTACACAGGAGAAACCCAAGGGAAGGCACTGCTGGGCTGGCCCCTCTCTGCCAAGGCCATATTCTTTCTTTTTTTTGAGGCCAGTTTCACTGTGTCTCCCAGACTGGAGTGCAGGGGCACAATCTCGGCTCACTTCGACCTCTGCCTCCCCAGTTCAAGTGATTCTCCTGCCTCAGTCTCCTGGGTAGCTGGGATTACAGGAGTGTAGCATGCCTAGCTAATTTTTCTATTTCTAGTAGAGACGGGGTTTTGCCATGTTGCCCAGGGTGGACTCGAACTCCTTGCCTCAAGTAGTCCACCTGTCTCAGCCCCGCAAAGTGCTGGGATTACAGGAGTGAGCCACTGCACCCAGCATTTGCCAAGACCTTTGATGGTAGGCTTTTTCCAGGTGATCAGTCCTTGTTTGGTGTGGCTCTGCCCCACTCTCCTTCTCACCTAGTTGGAATCCCTAGCTACTTTTCAGTAGAGGAGAGTGTGTACCCCAATCCCAGCTTGGTTCAGATCTGCATTTAACTCATGGAACCTGGCTGCTCCCCAGGTCCTGAAGAAAAAAAGGGTCTCTCTGTGGGTATGATAAAGGATGGGCCTGTCCCCAGGACCCTGTGAGAGGGAAGCCCAATGTCCCACCAGGTTGGCAGGGCTGGGGAAGGGAAAGTGTTATGGCAGCCCCAAGAAAAAAAAGAGGCAGCAGAGGGAGCAGGACAGCGCTCCCATGGAACTCATGCCACTGCCTGAGTGACGGGAGGGAGGAGTGCACGCCAGTGACATCAGGGGGCAGAGAGGCGCAGTTCCAGGGCGGCTTTCCCCCTCACTTCCTGCCATGTTACTCTGCTCGCCTCCAGGTGAGCCTGCCCACTTTGTGCCCAGGGGCCTGTAGAAAACCACAGCTCCCCATGGTTATGGCCCCAGGAGTGGGGCAGAGCAGGGAGGAGTCCTGGACAGAGGAGAGGCAGGGGCAGGAGGGAGTGGGCCTCAAACTCCAGGAGGGGGCCCTTCTCATGGGTCCTGCTTTCTGGCTTCTCCTTCCTTACCCCTGGGCTGATCACTCGGGGAAGAACTCAGACAAAGTTTCTCACCCTCAGGCCCAAAGGGTTTAATTACTGGGCCCTTAGGGAGGTGTGAGCCCCCTGAAAGGATGCAAGGTTTTGTTTTGTTTTGTTTTTTGAGACAGAGTTTCGCTCCTGTCGCCCGGGCTGGAGTGCAGTGGCGTGATCTCACCACACTACAGCCTGCGCCTCCCAGGTTCAAGTGATTCTCCTGCCTCAGCCTCCAGAGTAGCTGGGATTACAGGTGGCTGCCACCACGCCTGGCTAATTTTTTGTATTTTTAGTAGAGACAGGGTTTCGCCATGTTGGGCAGGCTGGTCTTGAACTCCTGACCTCAGGTGATCCGACTGGCTCCGCCTCCCAAAGTTCTGGGATTACATGAGCCACTGTGCTTGGCCACGATGAAAGGTTTTGTGTGGAGAGCATGTACATGCCTTTCTGGGAAAACAGTCCACAGCTCTTATTCTCAGCAGGCTTCACGGTCAAAAAAGGTTAGAACTCTTGCTACAGAGCTGTGGAAGCAGCTAGGTGAGGGGCCTGCCAAGGGCACTCTGGGCACTACCTGGGCACTCTCGAGCCCATCATCCCCTAGGCAGGCTGCACTGCTTGGTATTTGCAGAGCTGAGGGGGTGGGGCATGTGGGGACTGTGAAATCGCCCTGAGATGACCCACAGTCCTCAGCTGGGAAGTGAGCGGCGCATCTCCTGCAGCGTCCTCCATCCCTAGAGCCATGGGGCCAGGAGAACTGGCCCTTGCAGCAAGTGAAAAGCCTATTATTGACTCCCTCCCTAGCCATGTAGACAGTGAACCAAGACACTCATATCAGGTAAATGCCTTGTTCTCTGTTACCGAGGTAACCAGTAGGCATTCCCAGATACAGTGAAGGTCCTCACACAAGATATGCACCTGGCCACCTGAGGAAAGAGAAAGGACTATCTGAGGGGAGGGGCTGAGCTGGGTGTGGAGTGGTCCTTGTGGGTCTTGGAGAGTGGGAGGGGGAGCAGCATGAGCCAGGCCTCGAGGCAGAAGGACAACCAGGAGACAGCCTGGAAAAAGTGCTGGACCCACAAGGGCTCAAGGCTGGCCAGAGGGGAGGTGGGATAGGCTGCAAAGTCCTGAAGTCTGAAGATTGGCCCTGGCAGGAAGAAACCAGGTAAGGTGGGGTGTTACCTACACCCTCAGGGCCAGATGGAGGCCAGAGCCAGCCAATTACCAGGCCCTTAGGGAGATGTGAGCCCCTGGAAATGATACAAGGTTTTTTGTTTTTGTTTTGGAGACGGAGTTTCGCTCTTGTCGCACAGGCTGGCAACTTTGCCCAGAGCAGGCACCAAGACTTCTGGCTCTGGGTGTGACCTCAGTCTGAGTAAAAGCCCCAGCCCCCACCAGGACTACCTACCCCCTACAATACTTCAGGTGCTGAGCCCAAGCCAGGGGCAGGAAGCTAAACTGATGCCTAGGGTAATCCCAACAAAGTCCCTGGTTCCCTGCAGCTATGGGGCTGACGGGGAATTATAGCCCAAATCCCAGATGCTGGCTCTCAAACTAACACTGAGCCCTCAGTGCCCACAGGGAGATACAATCAGCGCACTTTCCAGATGGGGAAATGGGATCAGAGAAGTGCAACAGCCTTGCCCAATGCCCCAGACCAGGGCTCCAGGCCCAGAGTGTTCTTTTGTCACTGTGTTCAGAGGGCAGCAGCTGCTGTGATGTACCCACCTGAGCCTGGCAGCTTTCTCCAACTTTGGAAGCCCAGGAGCATGGCCCCTGTCCACAGATGCACCTGGCATGAGGCGTGCCCAGAGGGACAGAGGCAGATGAGTTTCGTCTCCTCCACTGGATTGTGAGGGCCTAGAAGGAGACAAGGGTCTGCTTGAGAAGGCAGTGAACAGCGAGCAACCTGAGGCAGTGCCCCTCTGGATGGATCCGCAGTGCCTGGATGGAACCTGGCTCAGACAGAGCTCAGTTCTGCAGGTCCCTGAGGCATGGAGAGTTCACAGCTACCAAGTGTAGGAGTCTGGATTCAAAGCCAACGGCGTGACTCCAAAGTCCCTGCCCTAGCCCCTGGACCACCCTTGCAGGCCCATCAGATGCCCAGGCCAGCAGCACAGCCGGCCAAGACCAGGGAAACTTGGGGAGCCTCAGAGCACCCCCAGGTATTCCAACCTAATCCTGGTACCCCGCCTCTCACCACCCTTCTTCCTGCTTTAACCTCAACCCCTACACAAAGCCTGGGCCACTTAATGTGGCATCAAACAGATGCCTCAATAAATCAGTCTAATCTTGAAAAAAAAAAAGACTTAACAGATATACAATTGCACGTTAGAATGCTAAAGACCATAAACACATAACAACTTAAAGTACATATAAATTCAATATATATCCAATCATTGTAACTATGACACAGTAGAATATTAAAATACTATTTTCAAAATGTATACAAGCTTAATGTTCTATGTATTCAAACTATTTATTCAAAATACAAATCATCAACATAGATTGCCACTAATATTCAGTCCCTTCACAGGACACATGATTCACTGGGAGTTAATAAATTAGCAGCCGGCAGGCAGTGACACACAGCAAAAATGAAAACCAAGAGGTGAAATAGTTCTGAAACAAAGGTTTTAAAGCTGACAGAAATCACTGAATTACTAAGTCATTAGCACTAATTTTGAGCCAACTAATTAATATGAGATGATACAATGTCCTATACTTTGGTAAATACAGACTATGTTTAAACAATGTCTGTAACGTGACTTGTAAAATGCTCCCGGCTTTACAAAGATGTGATTAAGATGTAGTAACACATGCTAAACCATTTCCCCCTGCAGAGCCTGTGATAACTTTCATCAGTCACACTGAGAGTCCAGAAGATAAAGGAAAAGGTCATGGATTTCGCTGAGACCTTACCAGAGTTGAACTCCCTCATTTTCCATTCCCCAGCATTGGCGGGTTCTGGGACTGGTGGCTGTGGTGGATCGTTGGTCTTTGTCTCTTAGAAGGTGGGGAATAATCATCATCTTGAAAAAGAAAAAATGGTCATTACTGAAGGAACCATCTTAGGTTACAGCCACCTCTGGGTCAATTCCCAACATTCAAAAGCTGAGCAGGGCTTTAAAGCTATCTTATTAATAATTATTTCTGTATTGCGAACTTCAGCATACTTTTTTCTAGTTACATTTGAAATGTTATTCTTTTGGGATGTACTCAAGTGAATACTGCTTTTTCCTCTGCCTTGCTTCATTACTTTTTAGTTTCCTTCATTTGAATCATCATTGTAAGTCTCCCCTTCTCCTCAAATAACTTTCAAATTGCTGCCAAGAACTATGTTCTATCTTAAGGCTTTTGAGAAAAAACTTTCAATGAAGATAGCCGCCTAAAGTTATACAAATATAGAAGAAACGGGATAAAATAAAGCTTAGATTGGAAAAAATATTTAAGATTATACAAAATTCACACGTAAACAAGGGAAGCTGAGTAATTGTATGTTCAAATACTTTTAACAAGTGCAAAACATGTAGGCTTAAAGAAATAGAGCTGGCCAGGCATGGTGGTTCACGCCTGTAATTCCAACAGTTTGGGAGGCTGAGGCAGGCAGATAACTTGAGGTCAGGAATTCGAGACCAGCCTGGCCAACAGAGTGAAACCCTCTCTCTACTAAAAATACAAAAATTAGGCCAGGAGTGATGGCTCATGCCTGTGATCCCAGCACTTTGAGAGGCCGAGGCGGGTAGATCACCTGAGGTCAGGAGTTTGAGACCAGCCTAACCAACATAGAGAAACCCCATCTCTACTAAAACTACAACATTAGCTGGGTGTGGTGGCACATGTCTGTAATCCCAGCTACTCGGGAGGCTGAGGCAGGAGAATCCCTTGAACCTGAAAGGCAAAGATTGTGGTGAGCCGAGATTGTGCCATTGCACTCCAGCCTGGGCAACAACCGCGAAACTCCATCTCAAAAAAAAAAAAAAGAAAAAATTAGCCAGGCATGGTGGCGCATGCCTGTAATCCCAGCTACTTGGGAGGCTGAGGCAGGAGAATCGCTTGAACCCAGGAGGCTGAAGTTGCGGTGAGCTGAGACTGCACCATTGCACTCCAGCGTGGGTAGCAGAGCAAGACCCTGTCTCAAAAAAAAAAAAAAGAGAGAGAGAAAGAAAGAAAGAGGGCTACATTATTTATGAAACAGATACTGTTAACTCAGTCACCAGAAAGCCTGTGTATAAATGAGCAGTGAGATATTCAAGCACAGCACACACACACTTCTCAGGACAGCTGTCATGAGAGTTCCATGCTCGTTTCCTTCTGGATACATCAGCAACTCACTCTGCTATGATCCTGCAATACATCTCATGTTAGAAATAGAGACATCTGGGCCAGGCACAGTGGCTGACGCCTGTAATCCTAACACTTTGGGAAGCCGAGGCAGGCAGATCACCTAAGGTCAGGAGTTCGAGACCAGCCTGGCCAACATGGTGAAATGCTGTCTCTACCAAAAATACAAAAAATTAGCTGGGCAGGGTGGTGCGCACCTGTAATCCCAGCTACTCGGGAGCCTGAGGCAGGAGAATTGCTTGAACCCAGGAGGTGGAGGTTGCAGTGAGCCGAGATCGTGCCACTGCACTCCAGCATGGGGGACGGAGCAAGGCTCTGTCAAAAAAAAAAACAACAACAGAAAAAGAAAAAGAAAAAGAAAAAGAAAAAAGAATTAGAGACATCTGGATGAAATCAGCTGCCAGTCTCGCAAAGTGTCGGGTAACATCCTATTAAGATTGCTGCTTACACATCATCTATAAAATACTGAAAATATCATTTTAAGAAATTTTTTTTTTATTTTGAGACAGAGTTTTGCTCGTTGCCCAGGCTGGAGTGCAATGGTGCGATCTCAGCTCACTGCAACCTCTGCCCCCCGGG
The DNA here is from genome assembly GCF_000001405.40 of Homo sapiens. Lineage (NCBI taxonomy): Eukaryota > Metazoa > Chordata > Mammalia > Primates > Hominidae > Homo > Homo sapiens. The sequence continues at coordinate 42,567 of NW_021160000.1, read as the reverse complement.
TTCAAGCAATTCTCCTTCCTCAGCCTCCTGAGTAGCTGGGATTACAGGCATGCACCACCACGCCTGGCTAATTTTGTATTTTCAGTTGAGACAGGGTTTCTCCATATTGGTCAGGCTGGTCTCGAACTCCTGACCTCAGGTGATCCACTGACCTTGGCCTCCCAAAGTGCTGGGATTACAGGTGTGAGCCACCATGCCTAGCCAAGAAACCCTTATTTTAAAACAAGCCAGGCGCAGTGGCTCATGCCTATAATCCCAGCACTTTGGGAAGCCAAGGCGGGTGGATCACTTGACGTCAGTAGTTTGAGACCAGCCTGGGCAACATGTTGTAACCCCATCTCTACTAAAAATATATTTAAAAAATTAGCTGGGCGTGGTGGTGGGCACCTGTAATCCCAGCTTCTCAGGAGGCTGAGGCAGGAGAATCACTTGAACCTGGGAGGTGGAGGTTGCAGTGAGCGGAGATCACGCCACTGCACTCTAGCCTGGGTGACAACAGAAAGACTCCATCTCAAAAACAAAACAAAACAAAACAAAAAACCACTAAAAAAAAGACTCCATTTCAAAAACAAAACTAAAACCAAAAACACAACACAAATGTAGTACACAAATGAAAATAATTACTGTGTTAAACACAGTTTCATAGAAAATAAAAGACCAATCAAATACAATAAGCTGCCTTTTTAGATGGGTATGTTATTCTTCTTTCACAGCTAAAGAAACGGGCTCAGAGAATGTTATTTGATTGGACCGTGTTGCATCTCTGGACAGTGCAGCTGAGATCAGACTTTGTGGGTAACTCCACTAGCCTACCAGGGTGCCTCTCATAAAGGTAAGAAATGTAAATTTGGCCTAATATACAAAGTTGCCAGGGCAGCACTGGGTCAATTCTACATACAGTACTTCTATGTTCATCAAGGGAAACCTTAAGGGAAAGTGAAAATGCTTCTAGAAGGTGACTGGACACCAGCGCCTTTGCTTGTTGCCTTTGGGCTCTTCTTCTAAGGCCAACAGTGACCTGAAATTATTGACTGGCTTTTCCAATCAAGTGGACAAAATGGTACCAAGGTCGCCAACATCAGACAAATTCACTTGAGGGCCTTATCTATGTGCTTTGAACGACAAAACTGCTTTTGTAAAGGACACTGTATTTCAGAAAAACATAATCATATTAACAAATAATAACACTGTAAAATGCTGATGTGTTGAATGCTACTTTAGAAAAACATGCTCAAATCTAGGGAAAAAATTTGATACAAAACTACATATCAATTATCTAGCTAGCTAGCTAGCTAGAGACATGCTTTCATTCTATTGCTCAGGATGGGAAGCAGTGGGATTATCATAGCTCACTGCAGCCTTGAGCTCCTGGACTCAAGTGATCCTCCTGCCTCAGCCTCCTAACTAGCTAGGGCCACAGGTGGACACAGTTATGCCTGGGTTTTTGTTTGTTTTGTAGAGACAGGGTGTCACTACATTGCCCAGGCTGGTGTCAAACTTTGGAGTCTCGCTGTGTTGCCCAGGCTGGGGTGCAGTAGTGCGATCTCAGCCCAATGCAACCTCCGCCTCCCGGGTTCAAGTAATTCTCCTTTATCAGCCTCCCAAGTAGCTGGGACTACAGGCATGCGCCACCACGGCCGGCTAATTTTTGTATTTTTTGTAGAGACTGGGTTTCACCATGGCCAGGCTGGTCTCCAACTCCTGACCTCAGGTGATCCACCTGCCTTGGCCTCCCAAAGTGTTGGGATTACAAGTGTCAGCCACTGAGCCTGGCGGAGCACTTTCTTATGTTATTAAGTAGCCTAACCCAGGTGGGGCGCTGTCCCTCACGCCTGTAATCCCGACAACTCTGATGGCCAAGCTGAGAAGATCGCTACAACTCAGGAGTTCGAAACTGGCCCGGGCAACATAGCGAGACCCCCCGCCCACCCCATCTCTAGAAAAAAATACAAAAATTAGGCCAGGTGCACACAGCACCCGGCTAATTTTTGTATCTTTTGTAGAGACGGGGTTTCGTCATGTTGCCCAGGCTGGTCTCGAACTCCTGAGCCCAAGCCATCCATCCTCCCGCTTTGGCCTCCCAAAGTGCTGGGATTACAGTAGGGCCCAGCCAGCCTCATGTTTTATTTAGCAGTCCCTCCCTGTTGCACACTTGGATAGTTTTTTTAATTTTTTTAGACACGGTTTACCTCAATCTCGCAGGCTGGAATGCTGTGGTGGGATCATAGCTCACTGGAGCCTTGAACCTTTGGGTTCAAGTAGCTGGGGGGCTGAGGTAGGACTACAGAGATGGGGTTGCGCCATGTTGCTAGGCTGCTCTTGGCCTGAAGGGTCCTCCTGCCTCGGCCGCGGCAGACATAGTTTTCTATTTTTGACCAACATAAACACTGTGCTGGGTCTGAATTTTTCAGCTACCCTTCTTCAGCCGGCAACACACAGGACCTGGCGGTGAGGTCGCTCTTACCAGTCCCCACTCTGACGAGAAGACTGCCCAGCTCCAGGCACCGTAGCGCCCCAGTGACGTAGCCGAACACCCGCGCCTGTGACTCGCCAAAGGCCCACCTCTATGGTGTCGGCGAAGGCGCGCCCTTGCGGCGCCGGGGAAGGCGCGCCCGTGCGGCGCCGGGGAAGGCGCGCCCGTGCGGCGCCGGGGAAGGCGCGCCCTTGCGGCGCCGGGGAAGGCGCGCCCTTGCGGCGCCGCGGAAGGCGCGCCCTTGCGGCGCCGCGGAAGGCGCGCCCTTGCGGCGCCGCGGAAGGCGCGCCCTTGCGGCGCCGCGGAAGGCGCGCCCTTGCGACGTCACAGGGGACCGCCACTCACGCGGAGCCAATCGGAACTCATGGCGGGGCTGCTGGGTCTTCCAGGAGCGCGCATGAGCGGACGCTGCCTATGGGTTGCCGGGCGAGATGTAACCGGCTGCTGAGCTGGCAGTTCTGTGTCGCTAGGCTTCGGCCCGGCCGCCGCCACACATAAGCTGCGATGAGGAGCTTTACGACTTCCCGGTCTTCGGGGCCGGGCGCAGCAAGGGCCAGACTCTGCGCTAGCAGGCGCTGCGCGCCAACCGGCCGGCACCTGTCGCAGAAGGTGCAACCGATCGCACTGTCGCGCAGAAGCTCCTCAATGGCCAGCACCAGCTGCAGCCCCGGCCGCCCACTCGCCTCACTTGAGCCTGTGTACGTGCGCCCCACAACGCCTCCCCCAGCCAGGGCCCGTGGATCCCCGGGAGCGTCCCCGGCTATCTGGCGCTGCTCATCCTGGGTAGGGTCGGCCCCTCTGAGGCTGCCCGGCATGAGGGAGCTGCAACCCTGAGCTTGACCTCTGACGGCCCTTTGTAATAGCATTAAGTCTTTGAAACTTTGTAGCGGGGTAGAAGGGGCTAGGAAACAAAGAAAACATCTTTTTGAAAATATAATCTGTCGGCTGGGCGAGGTGGCCCACGCCTGTAATCCCAGCACTTTGGGAGGTCGAGGCGGGATCGCGAGGAGAGGAGTTCAAGACCAGCCTGGCCAGCATGGTTTCACTGAAACCCCGTCTCTACTAAAAACACAAAAATTAGTCGGGCGTGGTGGCAGGTGCCTGTAATCCCAGCTACTCGGGAGGCTGAGGCAGAGAATTGTTTGAACCCGGGATGCGGAGGTTGCAGTGAGCGGAGATCGCGCCACTGCACTCCAGCCTGGGCAACAGACCAAGACTCCGTCTAAACAAACAAATATATGTGTGTATATATATGCGATCGAGCCCAGGAGGTTGAGATTACAGTGAGCTGAGATTATATAAGCGATCAAGCACTGGAGGTTGAGGTTACAGTGAGCTGAGATTGCGCCATTGCACTCCAGCCCGTGTAACAGAGGGAGACTCTGTCTCTAAAAAATTATATATAAGTGAGAGCTTTTCTTCCAGCACTCATGCTCAGACTGAAGAAAGTAATTGTGCCAGGCCCGGTGGCTCACGCCCGTAATCCCAGCATTTTGGGAGGCAGAGGCGGTGGCGGAAGCAGGTGGATCGCTTGAGCTCAGGAATTCCAGACTAGTTTGGGCAACATGGTGGAACCCTGTCTCTACAAAAATACAAAAAATTAGCTGGGCATGGTGGCACGCACTTGTAGTCTCCGCTACTTGCCGGGCTTAGGCAGGAGGATCGGTCAGCTGCAGCCTTGACCTCCAGGGGCAATCCATTTCAGCCTCCCAAAGTGCTGAGATTACAGCCATCGTGACTGGCTTTACACTATATTTTAATACTTTTTTTGAAAATGGAAAATTTTACAGGCAATTCACTTCCTTCAAACTAATGATAAGGAAGTGATGCTGTTCTGTTCTGTTTTGTTTTTTGTTTTTGTGTTTTTTTTTTCTTTTTTGAGATGGGGTCTTGCCCAGGTTGGAGTGAGGTGGTGCAAACAAGGCTCACTGCAGCCTTGACCTTCGGGCTCAAGGAATCCTTCCCTGTCAGCCTCCCCGGTAGCTAGGACTACAGGTGCATGCTACCACGCTTGGCTAATTTTTTTGAAATGGAGTCTCACTCTGTCTCCCAGGCTGGAGTGCAGTGGTGCAATCTCGGCTCACTGCAGGCTGGTCTCAACCTCTGACTTCGGATGGTCCACCCACTTCTGCATCCCAAAGTGCTGGGATTACAAGTGTGACCCACCATGCCTGGCGATTTTGCTCATTTTAGATACTAGAACTTTTTAAATTAAATTTTTTTTTTCCTGAGATGGAGTCTTACTTTGTCTCCAGGCTGGAGTGTAGTGGCATAATCTCGGCTCACTGCAACCTCCACCTCCTGAGTTCAAGCGATTCTCCTGCCTCAGCCTGCCAGAGTTGCTGGGACAACAGGTGTGCACCACCACACCCAGGAGTTCAAGGCTGCAGTGAGCCATGATCGTACCACTGCACTCCAGCCTGGGCAACACAGCGAGACCCTGACTCCACAAATAAATAAATCAACATCATATGATCTGTACCAGGGTATAGGCAGGTGCTATGATCCCCACTTTTCATCCTCAACTCTAAGTTGAGTCATACATCAACCTCTAGTAAAAAGTGGCATGCTCTCAGTCAAAGGAGTAAGCCCAAACCACGTGGAGAGAATCTTATCTCTTTTGAGAGCTATATAAAAAGAATTCCTCCTAGGCATAAAAATATTGTGACACCAGTTACTTAGGCTAAACATGCCTATTATGCTAAGTGAGTTATTAACAATAAATACTTTAACTCTGTGCCATGTTAATTATCATAATCTGATTTATAATTTGTTTTAACCTTAGGTTATATATACCTTGAAGCCATTTATATTTTGGTATACTTGTAATAATTACTATACACTGGACTATGTATATTGGACTAAACACGGAGAGTCAAAAAAGAGTATGTGGTCAGAGTAGAAATCATGCCCTAGCTTCCTTCGTGTCTACCTCCTACCTTGAGTAGAAGTGGTAGAAAAAGTAATTACCTAAGATTTTTTTGGATTCTGGTTTGTGGAGAATCACCCTTATATTTAGGCTGATGGGCGGCGAAATTAGAAAGTATTTTTTGTGATTTTGAATTTTATACAGAGATGTTCATTGTGATTAATTATTCTTTGTATTAGCAGATTTTTGCTTTTTATAGCTGCATGATTTCTTGTTTATTATTCATTCATTATTGTCTATTAATAAAGAAAAACTTTATTTCACTGAAGCAGTGATATATAATCCAACTTGGATTTTTAAATAATGACTGACTTTTTTCTTTGGGAATACATTACTGTTAAAAATGTAATTATTAGATACATTACTTTTAATGAATATAAGTGGTATAATTAGAAGGCTGAAAAGAATCCTTGGAAACGTGAGTTTAATTTGATAGCTAAGAAACTGAGGACAAGATACTTATTCTTTGTAGCATATTTTCTAATGTCATTTCATTGTCTCACCAAGAAATACTTGCATAAAGCAAGTTCAATTACAGCATCTGTTGAATATTTAAGGTTGGGTAAAGTGGGTGAGTTTAACAGATATTTTCCCTTATTTCTTTTAGACGAATCTGGACTGGGAAAGTTGACATTAATCAACTCATTATTCCTCACAGATTTGTATTCTCCAGAGTATCCAGGTCCTTCTCAGAGAATTAAAAAACCTGTACAGGTCTAGATATTGGTATTTTTAATTGATGATAAGCTGGAATAATATTAATACACACAAAGCATGTGTTGTAACTTTTATTATGCTTCCTTAGAGGTAAGATGCAAATTTGCCCTTAGCCAGTGTAAGATGGTAAATATGACTTCATAAAATTAAAAAAACAGAAGAAGTACAGTTAATCAAAAGAATTATCTTGACTAGAACTTTCCAAATTTGTCCTAAGGATTCTCCTAGAGATGACACTGTGACATAGTAACCAATTCCCCTGGAGTTGTGCTATGTAGTATGATAGTCATTTGCCACATGTTTAAATCAATTAAAATTAATTAAATTAAAATGCAATTTCTCATTTGCTCCAGATACATTTCAAGTGCTCAACAGCCACCTGTGGCAAGTGGCTGCCATTTTGTGCAGCACATATGTGAAGATTTTCATCATTGTAGAAAATTGCATTGGACAGTGTAGAGAAAACATGATTCATAGAAAAACTATTGTTATTTAAATACAGTGTTCCATATTAGTCAGTGGGATAATACCATATCATAGTTGAATGGCAATAGCAATTCGGTAAGACTCCCAAGCTATATGTGATTTAATTTACTGCTTCTCAGTCTTTGCTATGCATTCCAATCCTGGGTATCCTGTTAAATTTATTTCTTCTAGTAGTTCTGAGATGGGCTGCCTTTCTACATTTCTAACAAGATCCCAGGTGATGCTGATGCTGCTGGATGGTAGATCACACTTTATAAAGCAAGGGGCTAGACTCTAGATATGCACTTTTTATTAAATAGTACAGCAGCCTGTAGCCACATGTGGCTATTAATCTTTGAAATGTGGGTAGTCTGAATTGTGATGTTCTGCAAATATAAAATATGCCACAGATTTCTAAGACTGAGCATGGAAAAGAAAATCTCCGTAATTTTTTATATTGATTGTATACTGCAGTGATATTTTGGATGTATCGGGTTAAATAAAATTGACTGATTTCACCTTTTTCCTATTTTAAAAGTGGCTACTAAGAAAATTTTAAATTACTTACATGACCGACATGGTATTTTTATTTGGCAGCGCTGCTCTAAGCTGTTGATGAAAAATATTGTTGGTGAGCTCTGCTTAGGTAATATATAGGACATGAGCAGAGAGGAGGCACATGAACAGTTCTGGCTGGAGTAGGCTTCATTGAGGCCATGATGCTTTTAGCTGGATTTGAAGAAGTGGTAGTGATCATCCCAGTGCACAGGATAGGAGGACAGTCTATATATTCTGAGCAGTAACTCATATATATCATACTGCAAGACCCCAAAGGAGTAATTTTGTGAAGTAAATATCTTATTTCTCCTTTTTAATGTTTCTATTTTAGGAATTTTTTTTTTTTTAGTAACCTTCATAGGGCTTGAGATTTAAAATTACCTGCAAAATTCTACTCTAAAAACTTGATCCTACCTGCTTATTTATTTTGTGATAAATATTGGAAATTTTAAACCTAAGCAAGAAAATGAACTTTGAACTTTCTTAATTTGGGTATCTATTATGAATACCTTCACTTAAGTATTTATGAATTTAGATATGAAAGGTAAAACTAAGCACTATCCAAATTAATATACAGTTCATTTCCAGAACCCTAGTTTCTTCCATGTGCTCACTCGCATTCAGTATTACAACCCCCAAAGATAAACACCTTACTGAATGCCTTCTCCATAAATTTGCCTGTTCTTGAACGTTATATACGTATACTTTTTTGTATCTGTTTTCTTTCAGTGAAGATTCTGTCTGTATTATTTACTCATGTTGGGTGTAGTTGTTTTTTTCATCGTCGTATAATACTCCATTGTGTGAATGTATCAGTATATCCTTTATTATTTATTGTAGATAAGCCTTTGGGTTTTCAGTTTTTTACTAACGGGAACATTCTTGTGCATGTCTTAGTAGACTTAGGCACTCATTGCTGTTGTGTGTGCATAAAGATATAAAGGTATTTGAGTTTATTTGATTTCTAGTGAGGTTGAACATGTCTTTTGTACTCAATAACTGTTCAGATTTCATTAAAGTCTTTTGGTAATCTTAATATTTTCTGTCATTTTCTTGCTGATTTATAAGAGTTTGAAAAATCTAATAATCCCCTACATTTTAGATATTGCAGACATTTTCTCCCCAGGTGAGCATCTGTTAAAGATGTGACATGCCCTCAATTTATTTTAGAATTCTTACATTGGCTTAGCTTCAAAATAAGTTGCCTAAACCCATTTTACCTTCCTTTAAAGTAACACTTCAAAAATATCCTCTTCTGTTGTGAATATCTTCCCGGAAACTCTCTTTATCTTGAAAACAAAGGGGTAATGGAGGTGAGAATATCTCTAGTAGGATTTTTAAGACAGGCCTGTGCACCACTGTTAAATATCTTTTCTGTGCCAAAAAGAAGACCTGTAACATTTGAGAACCAGATTGATCCTTAGTAGAATCCTGTAGAAGTCCTCTTTCCTGATTGAACCATGGAGGTGTATTCCTTTATATACTGAAAACTAGCTGAAGATAATCTAAACTCTTGTGCCCAGTTAGGAAAGAACATGCCATATTACGGACAGGGTCAGAGTCATTCAAGAAGCCTGAATATAGTTAGAAAATGAGAATGTAATCTTTTTAATAGTTGGCTGGCTCCTTACCAAGCCCAGTAGTCTTGAAGATATAGGGGAAATAGTGTAAACGGTTGTCAAGATGAATCTAAAATGGAAATTAATCAGTTCCCTAGAATAGATTGAGAAATTAGCTTTAGGAAAAAGATAAATTTCACACACACTGTACCATGGAAGGTACAGTGCTGATTCAGACAGACTGGGAATGGTCTCATTTTTAAGTGGTGATGTGAGGTACTTCACTGAGCATTGTGACAGGCACGGGCTTGGGAAGAGCCTATTAGGGAATGGGAGAGGCATGAGACTAAGGAGCACATAAGAGGAATATTAGCAGAGAAATTCTTTTTGAGGTTGAAGGTCATGAATTTTATGGTATAGGAATAGAAAGATGGGTTAATCCAGAATGGGAATTGAGTTGGAAAGGGAAAGAAATAAAGGTTTTGGGAAGGAGGTTGCTAATAGAAAATGAGAGGGGCAAGGGATTTGAGGTCTCAATAAGGAGACAGGGATATGAGGAGTGGAGAGGTTCAGAATAGAAAGCCAAATTAGAGTTTTGGGATCAACTTTCTTCTTAGTAAAGTAGTCCTGGGTCTTCATGAGAAGGAAGTATTCTTCAGGCATAACTGTTCTACTATTGGTTACTTCCTCTTTCATTTTCTTGTGGAACACCATGAAACATTTAAGATGATATTTGTCTTTTGAGCCAATAAATAAGGGAAATAGATAGTTTTTGTGTTTGAGCTAAGTGGAGTATCTCAGGCCATTCCAATGTCTTCAGAGTTTTGGCTGTAATGCTACCTCTTGAGCAAGTGTAGGTAGAGGTAAGTTCTTGACAGAAAATTTTAACCCTCTCTTCAAAATGTTATATGCTTAATTAAATAACTTCTTAATTTACCTTAATAAATGGCATGTAAACATTAAGTTAGAAAAGGTTAGTGTATATGAAGCTGTATAATCAACATTGTTTGACTTTTTTTCCTCAGATTGTAAAACTGAAAACTCAGTATACTAATACTCTTGTATACTGTATACACTCAGTATTAGAAAATGAGTACCTTTGGTTTCTGGAATCTCGGATGCCAAAAGAGGTCTCAATAGATGAATTATACATAGATGATTCATAGATGATAGTTTTAGTTTATTTATTTTTCAGGGAAAAACATTTGAAAATGTTCTTGATTCATTTTTTTGTTATTAAATTATGCAGCTAATCTTAGAGAACCCTGAGTGATGCCATAAAAGATGTTGATGTGGCCTGCTTAAGGAAAGTGCATGGGAAAGTGGCCATTTGGAATAGATTTGTTAGGGAAAGTCTGAAATTCTTAGACTTGAACTAATTTGTTTTCCATGGATCCCATGAGGATACTTGTAAAAGCAGATGATAGGGTCCAGTTGGATCCTGTGAATGGCACTAGTTTGCAGTTATGTTTTCTGGATCTCTTCCATATGTCGCTGACTTCTTTGTATTTGACCATGTATGGACATACAGAATTTCATAGGCCAGAAAAGAAAAGAAGCTTTATAAACATTCCTTATGTGTGTAAAATACAAATCTTCATTTGTCTTAGCAAGTCAATAAGTAATTAAGTTGTTGAACTGATTTTTTTTTTAAACAGGGAAATATCTTAAAATTTAAGCTGTTAGGTTAAAATGTGTATTTGTTATACAGCATATTACTGAAGGTAGAATGGGCTTCATTTGGTAATAAAGGAACCAGAAATATTTTTAAGTAAAATTGGGAGATGATTCATGTAAATTAACTATATTTTTGTATCTCTTTCTAGAATACAGTACTATGTTGTTTAAAAGAGTAAGTGGGTAAAGGAGTGGTATAATTACTGTGGATATTTCTACTTCAGCCACAGTTACCATGAATAAATGATCTGTCTTTATAAAGGAGATGGAGGTGAATTCAAGATATTGAGATGTTAGATTTGACTGGGTTGTCCTTTGACTAGAAGATCACCAGATAAAGAAAATGTAAACTTCCTAAACCAGATAAGATGATATCGTTAAAAATTTTTTTTGACCCAGCACTTTGGGAGGCTGAAATGGGAAGATTGCTTGAACCCAGGAGTTTGAAGCTGCAGTAAGCTATGATCTACCATGCACTCCAGCCTGGGCAACAGAGTGAGACCCTGACTAAAAAAAAAAATTTTTTTTCCTTTGGTTCTCATGATTTCACACTGATGAATCTGATTGTTTTCTCTGAGTCATTTTGCCTCTCTCATGTTATTAGGGTAACCTGATAATAGACATGTTATCTTAGTTATGTGGTATGTAACAGTGATCTTCTAAATGATATGCATCCATCACTGATACTGAGAATGATCAGAAACTATTACAACTCTTATTTATTGATGTTTACTTTTAATCTACAGATAAATGATAATACATATTAATACTTAATATTCAGATTGCCAATAGTATATATTTGGTGGGTAAATATCTTTTGGATCTGCAAAATTTTCACTGATAGTTTGTATCAGGATCAAAGCAGTTTGAAGAACATTAATCTAAAAGATAAGACTTTGGCATCTCATTTCTCTAAAAGATAAGTCATGCATGTCCACATCTCAGGCAATTTTTTTCAGTTTTATAAGTTTTATTCTTGATAATAAAATTCTTTTAACAGAAAACTCTTGATTGCTATAGACCTCTGCTGTGTATTCAGTAGTCACTAGCCACATGTGGCTATTTAAGTTAATTCAAATTAAATAAAATTAAATATCAGTTCCTTATTTGCACTAGTCAGATTTTAAGGAATAAGTAGCCACATGGGCAAGTGGCTACCATATTGGACAGTGTGGATACACAACAATTCCATCATCTCAGAAAGTGTTATTGGATAGTGTGGCTACAGACTTTTCTTGCTCAGCAATCTTAGTCTCCGCATGTTAGTCTCTTCATGCATTAGGTAGCATCTATAAAACATGCCAAAAGGAAATAGGCTATCTCTAAAAGTGTCCCAAACTTTTTGTCTTGTAAATTAGCTTATCAGCATACTTGGAGCCTCTTGCCTTAAAAAGGACTTGATATAAATGTGTATCAGGAGAAAGCCTATCTTATGAAGGAATTATTCCCTTTTTATTTGAATCCATGTTTGCTTTATCTTGGGCTCCTGAAAACTGATACTTTGCATTTAACAGCAGCATATGCCCAGGATGAATGATAATACATCTCCTGATACAGAGCTTGAGGTTACAGAATATCTTAAATTGTTCCAGGAACTGTTGTTATCATTTAAGTCCAATAATCAGTAAGATTTCACCCTACCAGAATACACTTTTTTTTATTAACTGTCTGGACCTTTGCTGATTACATTTTCCGGAATGTGGAGTATCGCATTTGAGAAGAGGATTGGATCCTAGCCATAACATAAATATAAGGGTAATTACATCCATGCTGAGAAAGATTTAGGAATGATAGTAAGTTCATTTGAGTGAGTGGTTTGGGCCAAACTTGATAGAGAATAGTCCAGGAAGACATTTACTATAAACGGTAGATTAAATGTTCTTGCCTGGTTAATTACATTTGAACTCTGTGAATGACTGAATCACTCAAACTGCTTAATTGTATTATTAGATGCACATTTAAGTTATGTATTACATGTCTTTAGTGGTGATCAGAATTTTATCAGTTCCTCTGTCTTTCTTTATACCAAGTATGACTCATAAACCCAGTATTAATTTGCCAAGAGATTGGCACACTATTTGTATATATGCTTTTCTTTCAAATAATCTGGATTCCCAATGCCCACAATCATTGATCCTAAAGAAAATGTGGGAGTAGGTAGATAAACTCAAACATCCCTACCATCACCCCTGGTAAGAAATCACTGGTGTAATGTATGATATTAACATCTGCACCAATTACTCTTATAGATGGAACAATCCAAAGTTTTAATCAAAGAAGGTGGTGTTCAGTTGCTGCTTACAATAGTTGATACCCCAGGATTTGGAGATGCAGTGGATAATAGTAATTGGTAAAAAGGATTTGTCCTCACAACTTTCCAGTGTATTTGGGGTACTGGGGTGGTTAAACTTTCTCTTCTTAACATTTTAAAACTCTTCTTAGCAAAGGTCACCAAACTTCAAGTAACATGACAGGTTTGTATACCAACTTTGCCACTTATTTGACAAAGTTTAAATTCAAAGTTAAACAAAGAAGTTTAACTTATTTGAACCCATTTACTTTTTGATAAAATGGAGATAATACCTATCATAAAATTGTTTTTAAGACATATTCCAAAATAACGTAGCTAGATAGAAGAATTCTCATTATTGTAAGAAATTTAAAACGGTTTGCTTTAATTTTATCCATTTGTATAAATTCTATCTCAATCCTAATTTAAACCTGATATTTAGACCTTCAGTTTTTCCATAAGTCCTAAGTGAAGAAAACTATGAAATTTTAGTCTGAAGTAATTATCTTAGTATTTTATAAATAACTTTAATTTTGTTTGAATTTACATTGTTTTTGAGGTATTTTTCTGTCAACTCTTAAAACTCCTAAGTTCATCATGAAGTTTTTATATTATTTAAGTAATCTCTCCTTTGAAATTTGAAACTGAATATAATTGTTTTCATATTATGAAGTGTGTTATTAATACACTTACTAGTGCCAATAGTATGCTAATAATTTAGCTGTGTTTCAACAATAAATATTTTCTTTCATTTGGAAAGTTTTGAAATAATGAATAAAGATTTATTCAACACAATTTATATTTTTGAATCTTTATATAGAATAACTTGACATATCTTCCATTGGTTAATTCATTTTGCCTATTTGAAAATATTGATTATTGTCCTTTAACAGTCATCAGTTAATTCATATGTAGTATTGCAACTTAATTGTTTTGTTTATTTGCATTCTATAGCTGGCAGCCTGCTATCAATTATATTGATAGTAAATTTGAGGACTACCTAAATGCAGAATCGCGAGTGAACAGATGTCAGATGCCTGGTAACAGGGTGCAGTGTTGTTTATACTTCATTGCTCCTTCAGGACATGGGTCAGTAACCTGATACTTCTGATTCCTTTTTGTTGTTGTTGCTTACTGTTACCTTTATGTGCATATTTGAGTAATCTTTAAGTTTGTGAAGTACATACAACTATACCCATTATTAAGTACCAAATTTCATGTAGAAATGTCTTAGTTGAAAAGCCTTTTTAAGTCCTGTGTAAGCTAACAGTGCTTTTACTCCTTAGTTCTTATTCATAAGGATTTTCCCTGCTTCATGGAAATAAACAGTGTTGCCACCATGGTTTGAGGTCTCAATGTGGCAAATTTAGCTTTCACGTTGAACTACCAAATAAAGAGAAGCAGCCAAACCAGTTAGACATATTCAAAATAAATCCAGAGATACTATTTATTATGTCTCATAAGAGATGGTTATCAAAAGCACTTGCATGCCAATGTTTTCTTGTGCCATTTCTTTCTGCAAGAAATCTGTTTGGCTTCTGTTTCACCTTAGCTGTCATAGACATGTCGTTTAAGTATCATGTTGTCAGTACTAACCTTTTGTTTATTAGGACATAAGACCTAAGAATCTAGACATTAATCTGATGTGATTGTTCTTTCTGTTTGTTATAGTTAGCCTGTACTCCCTTTTTTGTTCTTTGTACTTCCCCTTTCATTTTGAGTACATATATGTGTCATTTGTAACTGCAGATTTTTCCAATTATTCTTCCTCAGTCTTTTCCTTTGGGTAAGTAACTCAGCATACATAATTCAGCCACCTGGTGATTGTAACTCCACCATCTCTCCACCAAAAGAACTGTAGTAGCATCAGGCTACATAGCATTAAGTTATCTAACACTCAAACGTTACAGTAGAGTAAACCAATTCCTTCAGGTATACCTTTCTCTTCCATTTTTGGCTTCTCGCTCTCTTTTTTTTGTTTGTTTTTATAGATGGGTCAATGCCCATTATCACTCTAGATGGATAAGGGAGCCTTAATTATATACTTATATTTTTGCACTGTCATATTGGAGTGGGGTAAAAATGTTTCTTCTTTTACGTCTAATACTCTTGTTTTTTTTTTTTTTTTTTTTTTTGCTGTGCCCTAAACCATTACATAACTGAAGACTCCCACCTTCAGGCAGGATTGGGTAGTACATGTTTGTAACTACCTGGCATTGCCTTTTGTTGAGGTAATTTCAGTTTTTATTAGTAGTAGTAGTAGTAGTATACTTTAAGTTCTACGGTATATGTTCACAATGTGCAGGTTTGTTACATATGTATACATGTGCCATGTTTGTTTGCTGCACCCATTAACTGGTCACTTACATTAGGTATTTCTCCTAATACTATCCCTCCCCCATCCCCCACGCCACGACAGGCCCTAGTGTATGATATTTCCTGCCCTGTGTCCAAGTGTTCTCATTGTTCAATTCCCACCTATGAGTGAGAAACACCTATGCGGTGTTTGGGTTTCTGTCCTTGCGATAGTTTGCTCAGAATGATGGTTTCCAGCTTCATCCATGTCCCTGCAAAGGACATGAACTCATCCTTTTTTATGGCTGCATAGTATTCCATGGTGTAGATGTGCCACATTTTCTTAATCCAGTCCATCATTTTATGGTGTTCTCAGTTTACATATTTAAATCACTAAACTGACTCTTTGACTTAACAGGCTCGAAAAAAAGTCATCTCAAAAATACAACACACTGTATAACCTTTTATAAGTATTTGTGTAGCTTTTTGAACTTATATTTTTAAATCATTCTCATTTAACTTGTCAGGGCCTTTTTCTGAAAGCCAGCAGAGTGAAATCTTAACCTGCAGTTAAGTCAATAAAATTTGTCAGCTTATAACCAATTTTATTATTTTAGATTTTCTGGACTCTCTCCAACTATAGTAATTCTCATGAAATCACATTCCTGCCATCCCCTTGGGGAAAATTTTATTTCTTAAAATTGCATGGGAAATGAGAGCTGTTTTAAAAGAAAAAAAGTTTTATATTCAAATGATATGTAGTGGCTTTGTGCCATTTCTTATTCATCACAAGGGGTAAGATGTTTAAAATTGCTATATCTTATATATAAAAATGTACCTTTGAATAATTTCTCAGTTTAACTATTTTTAGAAATGGAGCAAAGTTTTGCCCATTGGTACATGATATTGTGGATTAAGTGAAAGAATACGAGGCTGGGCGCGGTGGCTCACACCTGTAATCCCAGCACTTTGAGAGGCTGAGGCAGGCGGATCACCTGAGGTCGAGAGTTCGAGACCAGCCTGACCAACATGGAGCAACCCCGTGTCTACTAAAAATACAAAATTAGCTGGCCGTGGTGGCGCATGCCTGTAATCCCAGCGACTAGGGAGGCTGAGTCAGGACAGTTGCTTGAACCTGGGAGATGGAGGTTGCGGTGAGCTGAGATCACACCATTGCACTCCAGCCTGGGCAACAAGAGTGAAACTCCATCTCAAAAAAAAAAAGAATATGACACAGAATTTTATGTATAGAGTTCCAGGTACCCTGCTCACTACAGACTGAAATTCTATGCAGTCTAATAAATGAATCAGAGCCTTTCCATCTTGTCTGGGTAGTCCCTAGGTTCCCTTTTTAGAGGGTTTTGTTTTTAGAGTGATTATAAATTCGTCCAACAGTGCACTTTCAGTGCCTCCTACCTCCCTCTACCAAGTATGAACTGCATGCATGGCTGATATATGATTTCGGCTATTATCGCTTCATGTGCGTTGTTCACTATTTTGTAACTGTTATTAAAGTAAAATACTGACTTGGAACATGAATTTTAAAATGGTGTTTTATCCTTCTAGTATTGATTCCCACTTTTAGAAAAATTGGTGTCATCCAGTGAGTTTTATACAGAAGGATTTTTTCCCTTAGAAATACATACATACATACATACAAAAAAAAATTTGTCATTTTCCCTGTAGTTGTTTATAATGCTGTAGAATTTGAGGCTAAATAGTCTTTTCTCTCTGCTGTGGGTTTATCTTCTAGAAATGATAAAGGATTTTCTATTGCTTAAAAACAAGATTTAAAAACTAAATTTGTTGACGAAAAGACTAGCCAATATAAATCTAAAGGGACAGAGGGAAAAAATTCAACCAGAATGTAATACACATGTGAACTAAATGTTTTCTGTTGCTGATGTTTTGTTATATTTTGTTCCTCATGGTTATATGGTTATTATGCAGTTATTTTATATTTTGTTATATAGTTACTTTGCACTGAAGAAAGCAAAGTTCTTTCATCTGAGGAAGGCAAGTCCTTTTAAATTATCAGGCTGGGGAGGGCATGAAAATGAGACAGCAATCATGTTGTAACTCCCCACTTTAAGCTATGTATTCATCTCTTGAAACCGCTTACTATTGCCATAAACAGCTGTACATTAACCTAATAATGTCACACTGGACACTATAACCCACATCCTATAGCTTAAAAACATACAGCCAATCATGTGTATATCTATGTAACAAACCTGCATGTTCTGCACATGTATCCCAGAATTTAAAGTACATTTTTAAAAAAAGAAAATGACATTTAAAATACCACACCAAAAAAAAATAGCCAATCACTTATCAATGTTATTTCTGCAAACCAAACAGAATTCCTGACAAACAACTTTGTATCAGCCTACTCTGTCACCCTTTTTGCCTTTAAAAGCCTGTTTGTAACAAAGGCTGAAGGGAGCTCATATCCAAGGTTAGTTAAGTCTTCTGGGCAGCTGCCCTCACTTTGGCTCAAGTAAACTCTTCAAATTATATTTTGTGCATCAGCCTCTTCCTTTTAGGTTGGTAGCATGTACTCTTTCCTCAAGAGGAACCATAATTTATCAGTTTCCTTAATAAGCCTACAAAATTGTGTATCTCCACACTCCCTCTGCTATAGTTTGAAGATGTTCCCTCCAAAATTCAGGTGTTAAAACTAAATGGCCAGCCGCGCTTGGTGGGTCATGACTGTAATCCCAGTACTTTAGGAGGCCAAGGCGGGCGGATCACCTAAGGTCAGGAGTTTGAGACCAGCCTGGCCAACATGGTGAAACCTCACCTCTAATAAAAATACAAAAATTAGCCGGGTGTGGTAGTGCAGGCCTGTAATCCCATCTACTCAGGAGGCAGAGGTTGCAATGAGCCAAGATGGCACCACTGCACCCCAGCTTGGGCAACAGAGTGAGACTCTGTCTCAAAACAAAACTAAACATAACTAAATGGCCAATGTGATAGTATTGTTGGCCCCACTGTTGGTGGGGCCTTTAAGAGGTATTTAAACCACTGGGCTCCTCCCTTTTGAATTGTATTAAATGGCCTTATAAAGGGACTTCACAGACAGGACTGGTCCTCTTTTGCCCTTCCACCTTCTGCCATGAAATGGTACAGCAAGAAGGTCCCCACCAGATGCCAGCACCTTGATCTTGTACATCCTAGCCTTCACAATTGTGAGAAATAAATTTCTGTTCTTTATAAATTATCCAGTCTCAAATAAGTTTCTGTTCTTTATAAACTACCCAGTCTCAGATATTCTGTTATAGCAACACAAAATGGATGAAAACACCTTCAAATCATCTTTCAAAGAAAGTTAAAAGGGAGGGAGCAAAAAACAACCAGAGGGTAGTGAAACATTAATACCCTTGACTTTTTCTTGAGAAGGAAATCACTTAATACCTCTGCCCAAGTTTGGGTTAATTAGCCATATGGATGAGTGAAGAACTTAGAACACTTCAGCAAACTGCACATATTCTCCTAAGTATGATCCATACTCCATCATCTAACTGGGCAAATGACCAGAAAAAATAATGTAGAAAAAAACATTCAAAATGTTCTTATTTCTGATCTCCATTGGAGCTTATTAAAGGAACAGAAACATTAACCAAAGTAGTCTGAATTATATCAACCCTTCAAATGCCATTTTCAATGTCACTTTCAAGTGCTATTTTCTATTAGGAGACAGATACTATCTAAATTTCCATGAAAATTACAGGAAAAAAATGCTGCAATGAATTGTTCTTGTACAGATCTAAAATCCTTTACCCACTATTCTAAAGTCCAAACAGCTATGAAAATTTAGTCTTTTCAAATTTTTGGCACACTCATTTGGCAGCTGAACTATAGCTGTACTGAGGTGAGGCTATTTATCATCTTTACTTCTACTACTTAATGTGAATTCATGTATCTTTTTTGCTAACATATAGCTAGGTTTGATTGCAGGTTGTTATCCCAGGTCCCAGTAGAATTATTGCAAAACATACTGTATTGTATGCACCAACTTATCTTTCTAAACTCTAAGCAATTTTAAATTCTAAAGCACGGTTAGTACACATTTTGCATAAGTGATGGAAGTCCTGTATAAATATCTTTAGGTACATTAATGAGTTGTATCTTTAGGATAAATTTTAAAATGTAGAATTATTAAAGGTATGTGCATTTAAAATTTTGGTATTGTCAAATTGCTTTTCAAAGGAATTAACAATTTACATCACAAACAATATGAAATGAAAGTGCCTGTTCTTTCACACCCTGAACAAAACTTTTTGGTGTTTGATAATATGATAAGCAAAAAGGTGATAACTCATGTGCTTTTAATTTGATTTCATTTTACTATGGGTGAGAATAAATTTTACTATTGATTTGTGCACATTATTTAAATAGTAGGTTAATTATCCAATTGGCTTCTATGTTACAAATATTTTCCCAGCTTGTTATTTGAATTTTGATTTTTATTTGTGATAATTTATTGTACAGGAAATTTTAATTATTTTGTAATCATATTTATTCATCATTGATACATATGGAATTTATTTGGGTGTAAAGAATTGTATTAGTCTTCTATTGCTGCTGTAACAAATTGTCACAAATTTAGCAGTTTAAAACAATACACGTTTATTATCTGAGTTCTGTAGGTCAGAAGCCTGGCATAGCCTGACTGATTTCTGGCTCAGGGTCCCACTAGGCTAAATAAAAGCCAGGCAGGCTCTCGGTCAAATCAGCTTCCAAGTTCACTTAGACCCTTTGCAGAAACCAGTTCCTTGCTTGGTAGGTCCACAGTCCCACTTTCTTGCAGTTTATAAACTTTGTGGGGATGGAAGACAGAGGGAGGGATCCTCAGCTTTTAGAGGTCACCCACTATCCCGTCAGGTAGCCCTTTCTGCAGAAGGTAGTTTGCTCTTTCAGGGTCCACAGGAGAGCACTACTATAGCTGCAGATCTGACTTAACTTCTGCTCCTTCTCTACAGCTTTAAAGGCCTCATGTGGCCCACCTGAATAATCCAGGATAATCTCCCTATTTTAATAACAACTGCGCCACATAACAATGCAATCATGAGAGTAACTGGGCAAAGGTCATGGGGGATATTTTAAATTCTGCCTACTACAGCAGTGATAGAAGGCTCCAACTTTTTTTTTCCCGGTTACTAGCCACTTGTCCCAAAATTATTTGGAATAAATCACTGATACTACCAATTTGTTTGGTTGTTTGACATTTAGATTTTTGGATAATTCAGAAATGTTCATTATTTGAGAGGAACTCAGTCCCTACCCTTCTCCCACTCCAACTCCTTTCAAGACAAGAGATCAGTATTTGACAACTCTAACTCTGAAAATAAGAATAGTCTTATTCCAGGGCCAGACCCAAAGGCTCAATGTGAAAGTTCCTGGACTCAGAGGTGTCACGTAAGAAAGTGAGTGGAAACTTGGGAGTATGGCTGTCCCATGAAGAGCTCACCCTCTGGAAAACAGAAAAGGGTCCTAATCTTGGAGGTTTGACACTCATCATAATGTGGGAATGACAGCTAGAAAAAAACGGTGAACTCCAGGAAGGCTTGAAGGCATTGGAGCAAGGCCAGCAGCCTCTCCCTCCCACCATCACTTCCATGAGAACCACGTAAGAAAGACCTAGTTTCTTGTTATCTCTAGAGACCTGGCACCTTTCACTGAAGAATTTGCTTTCAAGCTGCTGCAAACTTTGAACAATTGTCTGACCTACTAAAAGTAACAGAGAAAGACAGAACTCTAGATGACTGAAGAAATCATGTATTTAAGTTATTAAAATGTATTATGTATAGGACAGTTATCATGATACTATCATTTTGTTGATGTCTCTTTGTGTATTTTTGATACCAGCCAGGTTCACTCTACCTGCACAGTAAATAAATTACTGGGACAATGGGTTTTTGCAAAAGAAAAGATTAATTAGGCATCCCAGCAAGGAGGTGGACAACAGCTCTCAAATCTGCCTCCCCAAAGATAGGAAATATTTATGGATTAGAGAAGCAGGTGGTCTAAGGCATAGGGAAAGGTGATTGGCAGTGGGTTAAAATGAGGTAATCAGTGATCTATGCCAGCATTATCAGGGTTCATGGCATTTCACAGGATATATGTCTCAGATCAGCATTAGCATGATCTGAGAATGGAGTTTTTGCCTCTGACATCAAAAGTTTCCCTCTCAGGTACCTGCACATGCCTAGTTGAAGGGTACGTGGTCTCAACTGGTTTGAACTGGACAGGAGCTGCCCTAAGTTCCTAAAAAACAACTGAAGTGACCACTACCATGTGACTTATGTTATCTGTAAAGTAGCCAGTGAAGGTTAAGTTACAGCATTCGGTGGTGCAGACTTCAGCTACCATGCCTTCAGCTTCAGGGAAAAACAAAAACAAAAGCAACAAGCAAACAACCCAAAGCAAGCAGGGCAGGATAAGTTTGGTGGATCTAATCAAATTAAGCCCTTGGTTTTACTTCCAATAACTCATACATTTTCTTCTTGATTTTTGTTGTGTTGATGTAGAAATTTTAGTTTCTGGACATGGAGAAGCATCGCCTGGTCATGATAACCCTATTCCTGGACAACCATTCATCCATTCTCTCAATAAGAATCTGGCAGCTCTATCTGTGGCTGATTATTTGCTATTTTTTTTCATCCACTTCTACCCTGAACTTTAAAATCTAGCTCTAATTCCTATCATGTGCCGGAACTAAGTCCTTGATGGCCAAGAATAAAGTGATTTATTTTTAGCCCCTTATAACAGAGAACTTGTACTTCTCTGTAGATCTCTCTGGAATGAAGTTGCCTCCAGTTTCAAGCAGGGGGAAACTACTGCCTTAACTCAAACACTCTCCCTTCATTTCCTTTCCCTCCTATCATCCATATCTCTTTTCAAATCCCCATACCTCCGGCCTGGCTCATAACTAATGTGTGGGATAGGATTTTTTACATTGTTATAAATGATAAGTAATTAATTCTTACTCATATGGCATATATAATAAATCATTTTTTTCCTGGGTGCTTGTGAATATATTTCTTTCAAATGTAGAATATAAATGATAGTTATAAATAGAGATCACTTTGCAATCAAAGATATAGAGAATATAGAATCATTTTGACTGTTAAATACAGCAGGGTGGGATAGTTACTTCCTAGCCTAAGAAAGAAAATAAATCCACGCATAGCCTATATCTAAAGCATCATCTATGTCAACTACCCACATTTAAACCTATTTATGAGTCACTAACAAAAAATGTTTCTTGAACATCCAGAGTCTCTGAAATTTCTCTTTTCCACTATAAACTGCTATAAAACCTCCCATAATTCCCTTCTTTGAAACAGGAGTCAAATGAGACAGTGAGGAATAACCTCCAGCAATGGTGAGATGAGCTCTCTTTAACCCAGTGGATTACTATCCATTTTCAACAGTCCTTTATGTATATTGTCATAGTTATTAAAAATAATAAGCAAATGAGACTTGTTGGATAATGAAATTTGTTCACATTTTCAGGTGGCAGACAAGAAACATGGATTATTGCGTGGAGTTCCATTAGTAGGAATAAGACTCATTCTACATTCTTGTTGTTCTTAGTGTTTTTTGTTTTTCATGAGAAGGAATTGTATCAGCACAAGGCAATATTCTAACATGACAATGACAGCAGACAGAACCTCAATAAACTCTGACTTGGTACTGCAAACACCATTTCATGATACCTTAATTCAAATAAACCTTTGTTTAATCAATTGTTCATATATTTATTTATACAACAAGCAGTAATCGAGTGCCTACTATGTGCCTTGCATTAATAGTGGCGAAACAATTTTTTTAAAAGTCCCAATCATCTTGGAGCTTATACTTCGGTAGGTTGAAAGGCAATAGACAAGATATGTAAAATACATATGTTAGATAGTAATAAGCAGCAAAAAGGAAAAAAAAAGGTAGATAAGAAAGATTAGAAGATATGAGGGGCATGATGAAATTTTAGACTGGGTGACCAGAAGACTTTGCTGAGAAGTGAAGCAAACAAAATGAGGGAAAAAAAGTTTGAGCTGACAACCACAATAACCACCATCTCCCATGCCCAAGAAAACAACTACAAGGGAGAAGAAAATACTAACCCAATGAAACAGAATTAAATATCCTTAAACAAGCATTTGGAGATATTAAAAAATACTATGGATCAAAAATTTTAAAAACAGAAATGGACAAAGAACAGGAAGAAATAAAACAAAAACTGATTATACTCAGGAAAGAAACAGAAGAAAGTAAAATCATACAGAAATAAAGATGGAACTAAAAAGTGCGGAGAAGTCTTGCTTTTAATTATAGCAATGTACCCCACCTACAGACCATCCTTCCTGAAGAACAACTATTAACTGTGGAAAAAAGGCAAAAAAAAAAAAAAAACCAATTACCTTAGAATTCCGAAGAAGAAACAACAGCAGGTACAGTGTGGAGGACAGCCCATGAGACATTCACCAAAGCAGGCCTTATCCTAGGCCATAAAACAAACCTCAACAAATTTAACGGTATAGAAATCAGACAGAATGTGATCTCTGACTGTAATAGAATAAAACTGGAAATCAAAACAAAAAAAGTCAGAAATCAATAACAAGTTTTTTAAAATCTCTAAAAATATGTACATTAAACAATATTTCTAAATAATCCATGAGTAAAGAGAAAGTATCAAAGGAAGTTAATAAAAATATATACAACTTAATAAAAAAGAATGTGTCAAAAAATCTGGCATGCAGCTAGAATAGTGCTAAGAAGAAAATTTATAGTTCTAAATGCTTATGATAAGAGGAAAAATTTCAAGTTAATAATTTTTTTACAGCAAGAAAGTAGAGAAAGAAGAACAAAATAAATCCAAGCAAGCAGAAGGAAGGAAATAGAAAAGATCTGAGCCGAAATCAGTGAAATTGGTAATAGGAAAACAATTGGGAAAATTTACCAAACAAAAAGTTGGTTCTTAGGAAAATACCATTAAAATTGAGAAACTCCTAGCAAGACTGACAAAAACTAAAAAAGAGAAGACATTAACATCAAGAACGAAATACAGAACATCATTACAGATCTCGTAGCCATTAAAAAGAAAATACTACTACAAGCAACTTTTATGCTAATAAATTTGAAAACTTAGAAATAATTGACCAATTCCTTAAAAAGTACAAATGACAAAAACACAAGATAAAACAGAAAATCTGAATAGTTTTATCATCATTAACAATTACATGCATAATTTTAAAGATTCATAAAATAAATCTCCAGGCCCAGATGGTTTCACTGGTGAATTCTACCAAATATTTAAAGAAGAATTAACACCAATGTTATATAATATTCCAGAATACAGAAGGTGAGAGAACACTTCAACTCATTTTATGAGGTTGCTATTGCCAAATAACCAAACCAGTCAAAACCAAAAAAAAGTACAGGCCAATATCTTTCATGAACTTAGACACATAAATTCTCCATAAAATATTAGCAAAGCAAATCCAACAATATTAAAAAGAAATGATTTATTTTTGGTAAAGACAGCATCTCGTTATGTTGCCCAGGCTGGTCTCTAACTCCTGGCCTTAAGCTATCCTTCCACTTTGGCCTCCCAAAGTGCTGGGATTATAGGCATTAGCTAATCCACCCAGTGATTTTTGTCAATAATCTATTGTCTCCAGTTGTTTTTGCAAGTTAGTTTCTTTGGTTCTCTGCAGTTTCACTATGTCTAGGTTTTTCTTTATCTGTGTCTATCTTGTGTGGAACTTGCCATTTTTCCTGAATCTGATGATCATGGCTTCCATCAATTCTAAAAAAAAAAAAAAAAAAAAACTCAGCCTTCATCTCCTCAAAGTTGCCTCTTTCCCATGTTCTCAATTCTTTCTAGAATGCCTAGAAGCATTTGAGATGTCTCACTCTATCATTCATATGTTAACTTCTATATCCTCAAAACCCAGCAGTGCCTGGCATGTGGTCGGTGCTCATCTGTGGAATGAATGAATTATACTGAACCCATTGGAAATCAAAATAAATGTACCAGATCAAGGCAGAAAGCAGGCATCTGCTGAAATCCAACTTCCTAGCAGTTGAATCTTTAACTTACTACTCCAGTCAGATACAAAAACAGTGAAACCTAGGATTGTTTAATGAAAGGAACCAATTATACAGGTACATCATTTGGGAGTGTGGGAAGGGAGTGTTCCCTATTTTGAGGAAATTGGATAAAATGGCTCAGAAAATACGCACAGCACCAACCTAGTGACACATCATCAATGACGTGAAATCAAGATTGGTTCATGTTTAAAGCTTCCTTTTGGGTACTTAACGTAGAACAGAATTCAGTACCAATTTGCATTGACTGTGCACCTACTAGGATATTATCACAATTCTGCAAGGTAGGCACTGGCATCAATACTTTATGTAATTAAACTGAGGTACACATTGAAGTAACTTGCCCAAAGTTATACAACTGGTCTCGAACTCCATACAGATAGTTAACTGGCTAAATCCTAATCTGATCCAAGGTCTTCCCAGCCCTAAAGCCCATACTCCTCCCACCATGCCCTCCCACTTGATCAGATGCTGCTTCCGGGTCAAACTTGGAAAATTAACCAACTCTACCAGATAGGAAGTGATCACTCAGTGCCTTACACCGTAGCATTTGAACCATGATACTCTGGCATATTCAATCTCCAGTAAAAATTATTACAATGTGCCAAAAAAAGCTCTTTATTCATTCACATATATTATTGCATTAAATCTTCACTCCATACCCATGAGTAGAAGCAGCAAAAAGATAACCACTCCACTTTACATATGAGGAACCTGAGATTCACAACAGATAATGTGCTTCTTCCAAATTTACAATGTGAGTGAATGGAAGAGTGAAAAACAGCTCTGATTTCAGGTCAACTTCACCCTTCTCTCCCAAAGACGGTGGACACAGTGGTGTGCAGCTCTCATTTTCACTTACAGAATGTTTATAGAAAACCTTTAACAACAAAATTAGAGAAACTAGAACCAAAAGCTTCATACTTTAAACTGTGAGGAAATTATATATCATTTTTTACTTTTGTCAAGTCATTCAAAATTTTACTGACTTTAGATTTCAGGCATTACATTGGTTATATTTAAAGTAAAAATATACAGCATTTTATCATTTTTCTTCATATCAAATGAGGCCTGGGGTGTGGTTCTTTGAAAATTTATAAAGTTTGCATGATTATCTGATACATGTAAACTAAATCCTCACTATAGTGTACCTTACACCAGCAGTTACCCAGTTAGAAAATTTTATTGAAACTTAATGTGAGTGAATAATTTCTTGCTGCAAGTTTACAACTATTAAGATATGATCATGAAAATGTGTTGGTCACTAATAAATATGCAAATAGTGTTAAGGGTCGGGCCCAATATTAGCATGAACTCCCTCAGAATCAATAAAAGATATTTTTTAAACAAGAAATAATTCAAGTGACCCAAACATCTATCTATTTGGTTTTTGTTATTAACCACATGGGCACCCACATGAGGATTGTTAGGATTCTAACAATCTTAAGATTGTCAGAAGCAACATATGGAGGAAGAAATAAGGCAAAAGAGCTAAAAAAATTGCTCATAAAGCAACGAAGTTCCGACTGCCACTCAGATAGTGGGCAGTACTTCCTTTTGCTGGGGGCAGGCCAAAGAAAGGAGCAGTGTGTGCCTGTGTCACAAT
Source organism: Homo sapiens (assembly GCF_000001405.40). Taxonomy (NCBI): domain Eukaryota; kingdom Metazoa; phylum Chordata; class Mammalia; order Primates; family Hominidae; genus Homo; species Homo sapiens. Next base: position 15,882 of record NW_021160000.1, on the reverse strand, counting down.
TATTCAAGTCCACCTCTTGTCCCATGGAGCACAGCTTAGGCCCCAGTTGGCAGAATAATATAAACAGATACTCTGTTGGGTGACTCGAATAATTTTTATTTTTACATAAAATCTTTCAGAAAAGAACTCTAATAATTTTGATGTGATACCACTCTAGAGAATAACTAATTAATATTTTTACTTAATCAATTTTTTATTTTTGAGATGGAGTCTTGCTCTGTCACCCAGGCTGCAGTACAGTGCCGCGATCTCGGCCCACTGCAACCTCTGCTTCCTGAGTTCAAGTGATTCTCCTGTCTCAGCCTCCCAAGTAGCTGAGATTACAGGTGCACGCCACCACACCTGGCTAAGTTTTGTATTTTTAGTAGAGATGGGTTTTTGCCATGTTGGCCAGGCTGGTCTCAAACTCCTGACCTCATGATGCGCCCACCTCAGGCTCCCAAAGTGCTGGGATTACAGGCTTGAGCCACCGTGCCCGGCCCAATCTTTTTCTCATATGCATACACATACACAGTCTTGGAGATAATTCCAAAAGGAAGGAAAAGAGAGTCATAGTTCATAGTTTATTACAAATGCATATTATCCAACTCAGTAGAAATCCATGTACCCCAGAATGTACAGAAGGTATGCAATGTTCCAGAGTGTCATTGTCAGCTCTGGCTTTACATATATATTAAATATATATATGTTTTGAGACAGGGTCTCGCTGTCACCCAGGCTGGAGTGCAGTGGCACAATCTCAGCTCACTGCAACCTCCGCCTCCCAGCCTCAAGAGATCCCCCCACCTCATCCTCCTGAGTAGTTGGGACTACATGCGCATGCCACCACACCCAGCTATTATTTTTATTTCTTTTTGTAGAGACAAGGGCTCACTATGTTTCTCAGGCTGGTCTCGAACTCCTGGTCTCAAGTGATCCTTCTGCCTTGGCCTCCCAAAGTGCTGGAATTATAGGCATGAGCCACTGAGCCTGGCCTGATTATCTGTTTTTTGAATAGTGACCCTAATGTGCTTTTCCAGTTCCAGTAACTTTTGATAAAATTTTTCAGCAGTGTCTTCATCTAGGTCCATCTGGAAAAGAAGCAAACATAGAGATGTCTAGAAAGGAAAAATAAGATGAATAGTATTTGTATAAAAAAAAGGCATTCAATATATGAAATAAAAAGAAAGGAGGCAGCAAGAAAGGGCCACGGTGGCAGACACGTGGAAGAAGCTGAGAGCCTGAAGACATACTAAATCTCAGTCTCAGTTCCAACACTCACCAACCAAACCCACTGATGCTTCCCTTAAACAGCAAGACTGAAAGATCTGAGTTTTGCTATCTCCCCCAACTTTTATATGCCCAGTAACAGAAGACACCAACCAACTGTGTTATCAAAGGACAAAACAGAAAAATCAAGAGTTTTGTGAATTTTTAACGACTACTCACTTCCTAATATCAATCTGGCTTAGTAAAAGAGCCCTGGTTTTAGCTGGGCTCACTGCCCTCTGGATATAAGACGATACTTCAGCCCCCATTGAAACAATGGGTGCCAGAGCCATGAGACTATGTTCTGGCTAGTGAGATGTAAATAATACCTGGAGTCTCTTCAAGAGAAATAAAGCATCCCTTTTTTCTTCCCTTCTTCCATACCACTCTCGAGCCACAAGCCTGAGGGCCACGCCCTAAAGATGGCCAGGTGGTGATTGCAAGGAACTTGAGTACCTGACAATTTGTGGACTTGCCATGGCAGCCTGAGACTGCCTCTCTCCTAAATGCTTTTACAGGCAAGAAATTTAAGATTCTATCTAGTTTAATCTATAGTTATTTTACATTCTTGTGTTTCATGCAGAAAATCTCGACAGTATGTACAGGCAAACTTTCAGCCCTTTTAAAATAGTGATATCCTTTTATCAAGCCAACACAGAGCCTAAACTTCAAGAACAGCCTCTTTGTTCACAAAATTGAAAGGCTAAAAATTAAATAAACTTTTGAACATTTTGAAAATAACATTTTTAAGGGCAGCCAGAGAGAAAGGTCGGGTTACCCACAAAGGGAAGCCCATCAGACTTAACAGCAGATCTCTTGGCAGAAACTCTACAAGCCAGAAGAGGGTGGGGGCCGATATTCAACATTCTTAAAGAAAAGAATTTTCAATCCAGATTTTCATATCCAGCCAAACTTAGCTTCATAAGTGAAGGAGAAATAAAATACTTTACAGACAAGCAAATGCTGAGAGATTTTGTCACCACCAGGCCTGCCCTACAAGAACTCCTGAAGGAAGCACTAAACATGGAAAGGAACAACCGGTATCAGCCACTGCAAAAACATGCCAAATTGTAAAGACCAGCGATGCTAGGAAGAAACTGCATCAACTAACAAACAAAATAACCAGCTAACATCATAATGACAGGATCAAATTCACACATAACAATATTAACCTTAAATGTAAATAGGCTAAATGATCCAACTAAAAGACACAGACTGGCAAATTGGATAAAGAGTCAAGACCCACCAGTGTGCTATATTCAGGAGACCCATTTCATGTGCAGAGACACACATAGGCTCAAAATAAAGGGATGGAGGGAGATCTACCAAGCAAATGGAAAACAAAAAAAGGCAGTGGTCGCAATCCTAGTCTCTGATAAAACATACTTTAAACCAACAAAGATCAAAGACACAAAGAAGGCCATTACATAATGGTAAAGGGATCAATTCAACAAGAAGAACTAACTATCCTAAATATATATGCACCCAGTACAGGAGCACCCAGATTCATAAAGCAAGTCCTTAGAGACCTACAAAGAGGCTTAGACTCCCACAGAATAATAATGGAAGACTTTAACACCCCACTGTCAACATTAGACAGATCAACGAGACAGAAAGTTAACAAGGATATCCAGGAATTGAACTCAGCTCTGCACCAAGCAGACCTAATAGACATCTACAGAACTCTCCACCCCAAATCAACAGAATATACATTCTTCTCAGCACCACACAGCACTTATTCCAAAATTGACCACATAGTTGGAAGTAAAGCATTCCTCAGCAAATGTGGAAGAACAGAAATTATAACAAACTGTCTCTCAGACCACAGTGCAATCAAACTAGAACTCAGGATTAAGAAACTCACTCAAAACCACTCAACTACATGGAAACTGAACAACCTGCTCCTGAATGACTACGAGGTACATAACGAAATGAAGGCAGATATAAAGATGTTCTTTGAAACCAATGAGAACAAAGACACAACACACCAGAATCTCTGGGACACATTTAAAGCAGTGTGTAGAGCGAAATTTATAGCACTAAAAGCCCACAAGAGAAAGCAGGAAAGATCTAAAATTGACACTCTAACATCACAATTAAAAGAACTAGAGAAGCAAAAGCAAACACATTCAAAAGCTAGCAGAAGGCAAGAAATAACTAAGATCAGAGCAGAACTGAAGGAGATAGAGACACAAAAAAACCCTTCAAAAAATCAATGAATCCAGGAGCTGGTTTTTTGAAAAGATCAACAAAATTGACAGACTGCTAGCAAGACTAATAAAGAAGAAGAGAGAGAAGAATCAAATAGACGCAATAAAAAATGATAAAAGGGATATCACCACCGATCCCATCTGAGAATACTATAAACACCTCTACGCAAATAAACTAGAAAATCTAGAAGAAATGGATAAATTCCTGGACACTTACACCCTCCCAAGACTAAACCAGGAAGGGGTCAAATCCCTGAATAGACCAATAACAGGATCTGAAATTGAGGCAATAATAGCCTACCAACCAAAAAAAGCCCAGGACCAGACAGATTCACAGCCGAATTCTACCAGAGGTACAAGGAGGAGCTGGTACCATTCCTTCTGAAACTATTCCAATCAATAGAAAAAGAGGGAATCCTTCCTAACTCATTTTATGAGGCCAGCATCATCCTGATACCAAAGCCTGACAGAGACACAACAAAAAAAGAGAATTTTAGACCAATATCGCTGACGAACACTGATGCAAAAATCCTCAATAAAATACTGGCAAACCGAATCCAGCAGCACATCAAAAAGCTTATCCACCATGATCAAGTGAGCTTCATCCCTGGGATGCAAGGCTGATTCAACATACGCAAATCAATAAACGTAATCCAGCATATAAACAGAACCAAAGACAAAAACCACAAGATTATCTCAATAGATGCAGAAAAGGCCTTTGACAAAATTCAACAGCACTTCGTGTTAAAAATTCTCAATAAATTAGGTATTGATCGGACATATCTCAAAATAATAAGAGCTATTTATGACAAACTCACAGCCAATATCATATTGAATGGGCAAAAACTAGAAGCATTCCCTTTGAAAACTGGCACAAGACAGGGACGCCCTCTCTCTCCACTTCTATTCAACATAGTGTTGGAAGTTCTGGCCAGGGCAATCAGGCAGGAGAAAGAATGAAAGGGTATTCAATTAGGAAAAGGGGAGGTCAAATTGTCCCTGTTTGCAAATTACATGATTGTATATTTAGAAAACCCCATTGTCTCAGCCCAAAATCTCCTTAAGCTGATAAGCAACTTCAGCAAAGTCTCAGGATACAAAATCAATGTGCAAAAATCACGAGCATTCTTATACACCAATAGGAGACAAACAGAGAGCCAAATCATGAGTGAACTCCCATTCACAATTGCTTCAAAGAGAATAAAATATCTAGGAATTCAACTTACAAGAGATGTGAAGGACCTCGTCAAGGAGAACTACAAACCACTGCTCAATGAAATAAAAGAGGACACAAACAAATGGAAGAACATTCCATGCTCATGGATAGGAAGAATTAATATCATGAAAATGGCCATACTGGCCAAGGTAATGTATAGATTCAATGCCATCCCCATCAAGCTGCCAATGACTGTCTTCACAGAATTGGAAAAAACTACTTTCAAGTTCATATGGAGCCAAAAAAGGGCCCGCATTGCCAAGACAATCCTAAGCCAAAAGAACAAAGCTGGAGGCATCACGCTACCTGACTTCAAACTATACTACAAGGCTACAGTAACCAAAACAGCATGGTACTGGTACCAAAACAGAGATATAGACCAATGGAACAGAACACAGCCCTCAGAAATAATGCCGCATATCTACAACCATCTGATCTTTGACAAACCTGACATAAACAAGAAATGGGGAAAGGATTCCCTATTTAATAAATGGTGCTGGGAAAACTGGCTAGCCATATGTAGAAAGCTGAAACTCGATCCCTTCCTTACACCTTATACAAAAATTAATTTGAGATGGATTAAATACTTAAATGTTAGACCTAAAACCATAAAAACCCTAGAAGAAAACCTAGGCAATACCATTCAGGACATAGGCATGGGCAAGGACTTCATGTCTAAAACACCAAAAGCAATGGCAACAAAAGCCAAAATTGACAAATGGGATCTAATTAAACTAAAGAGCTTCTGCAAAGCAAAAGAAACTACCATCAGAGGAAGGCAACCTACAGAATGGGAGAAAATTTTCACAATCTACCCATCTGACAAAGGGCTAATATCCAGAATCTACAATGAACTCAAATTTACAAGAAAAAAACAAACAACCCCATCAACAAGTGGGCAAAGGATATGAACAGACACTTCTCAGAAGAAGACATTTATGCAAGCAAAAGACACATGCAAAAATGCTCATCATCACTGGCCATCAGAGAAATGCAAATCAAAACCACAGTGAGATACCATCTCACACCAGTTAGAATGGCGATCATTAAAAAGTCAGGAAACAACAGGTGCTGGAGAGTATGTGGAGAAATAGGAACACTTTTACACTGTTGGTGGGACTGTAAACTAGTTCAACCATTGTGGAAGACAGTGTGGCAATTCCTCAAGGATCTAGAACTAGAAATACCATTTGACCCAGCCATCCCATTATTGGATATATACCCAAAGGATTATAAATCATGCTGCTATAAAGACAGATGCACATGTATGTTTACTGCGGCACTATTCACAATAGCAAAGACTTGGAATCAACCCAAATGTCCATCAATGATAGACTGGATTAAGAAAATGTGGCACATATACCACATAGAATACTATGCAGCCATAAAAAAGGATGAGTTCATATCCTTTGTAGGGACATGGATGAAGCTGGAAACCATCATTCTCAGCAAACTATCACAAGGACAAAAAACCAAATACCGCATGTTCTCACTCATAGGTGGGAACTGAACAATGAGAACACATGGACACAGGAAGGGGAACCTCACACACTGGGGCCTGTTGTGGGGTGGGTGTAGTGGGGAGGGATAGCATTAGGAGATATACCTAATGTAAATGATGAGTTATTGGGTGCAGCACACCAACATGGCACATGTATACATATGTAACAAACCTGCACGTTGTGCACATGTACTCTAGAACTTGAAGTATAATAATAATTTAAAATAAAAGAAAGAAAGTAACATTTATCTTCAATCAAGTTAGAGTTTTTCCATAATGGAACTGGAAGAAGCATTACAGAACTCTTCTAGTTCAACCCCATCTTTTAACAGAAGAGAAAGCTGACTTCCCCAAATTAATCAAAGGTTAAAATACTTTCTTCAATGCATTTCCATAAAATGCTAATGAGTATGTCAGTTTGTACAACTAAACATTTTCCCCTTGATAAACAAATCATTCATTCTAAGTTAATAGATAGTAAGTTCAAATACACCCTGCTAGCCTAAAGTAAGCTATTAGTTTACAATAGAATTCCCCAAAGGGATGTTACAGGTTATGTAAAATTTGCTTTAAAAAAAAATTCATGGTGAAGTACTGAAAACAGCAGGATAAAATATTTCACACACATTTCTTAACTGTTTCAACTTCTCACAGCCTTTACTTTGCTGATGTATGCTGTACAAGTCTCTGAAAGAGGGGAATGTAATATGAAGCATGGTTCCATTTTACTTGCTAGAGGAACTACTTCTTGCAAATCTTCTCAGGAAACTAGTATCCCACAGAACATATTTTGAAAAACCTGGAAGGTTCACTTTTAGTGAACAGATAGCACAGGAAGCCAAGTGCATGGCTCCCCTTTTAACTCATGCTACTAACAGAGGCCAAGATCAATGCCAGTTAGTTGACTTACCTGCGATAACAGTCACCTCAATCTCATTTTATCTTATGCTAATGTCTCCTCACAACAGGCTGGACAGTGGAAAATCAGGGGCTGAAATAAACCTTACGCATGACAAAAGTACAACAAAGTAGTTCTCTTAGTTTAAAATAAATTTTCTTATTCCCCAGTATGTAACTCTATGTTTGATTTCATTTTAGATTATACCAAGTCTAAAAAACACAGTACTGACTTTTTTTTCTGCACATTATTCTGTTCCTCCTCAAAACACCATCTATTAAAGCTGACAATTGTCACAAGCAGAATTGAATACTCAAAGGGAAGTTAACTTCACACAGAAAAACACTTCATATTTCATTCAACTTGCAACGTATTTACTGAGCGTCTACCGTGTGTAAGGCAGCCTGCTAGGAAATGGGGTACGACCCTCCTCCTCACAGAGCTTACATTCTGACAGGGGAACCCGAAGGTGAACAAGCATGATCTGCAACAGGTATGAGATGTCAAGAAAGCCTATTACAGAGGCACCCAGGCCCAGTCTACGGGGTCACTAAAGGCTATGGGATAAACTGATCTGAAGGATGAGCACAAATCAATCATCGAGAGGCTGAGAGCAGCTCAAGTCGGGGGAATAAGATGTGCGAGAAGCAGGAGAGAGCAGGATGAAATAAAATCAGGCCCGTGTGATGCTGGTGAACAGTGAGTACCCAGAGAAGCGAAGCTGGGGGGCTGAGGGGCTGGTCAGGAACACGGGCTTAATTCATCAACCCAACAGCAAACATCAGTGCAACAATGTAAGCACATTTACCTTCTGGGTCATAATGTAATTTCTTCCAAAGCCAGTGGTGGCACTCAGATATTTGATCAGAGGATTGACAGATTCAGGCTTTTGGTGGAAAAGCCATACCTGGAAAGGAAGGATGTGTCAATGATTTGTTTCTTCTGCCCAAGGTGAGTGAGGCTGGTGGAGAGTCACTATCTGCACTTTATAGAGCTCCCCAGACAAATTATAAACATCCTCTCAAATATCATCAGTGAATGGTTTGGCAAATATATTGAGAACCAATTAAAATATAGTTTAAAAGCACTTGCTTCTACAACCAATTTGTATTCCCACAATAAATGTATTTATTTCTGTAACACTTACCAAAACAAGAGCATCAAAGCCAATTCCATTTATGTTTTCCTTAGCTAATCTCAATTAAGATTTAAGAATCTACTAAGTACTACAATGCTAGGTCCTCAGGTTTCCAAAGTGAATAGCAAAAATCCTGAAGGAGTTCAATGGAATGAGGGAGACAAATGTAAAGAACTGACTCAGATACAATGGACTTTTTATGTATGACAATTCTGAACCGTTAGTAGAGGCTGCCTCTGGAGCTCTGGGTTGAAGAATATTCAGAGACATCACGTGTGTATAGCAGAAAGGAGTATTATAGCCCATTAGTAATGTCTGCCATTGATGAGGAGACACATGCAACCCATTTGCCACGTGTGATTTAACTCCACTGGCTTCCTAATAAAATAACAACTTGATCTTCTAAGAGAGGGAAGAAAATCTTTATAGAGGGGAATGGTGTTGAACCTTGTTGTCCTGGCTCTTGACCCACAAAATGCTCTTTCTCCACGGGAAATCACAGACTGATTGTGCAGTCACCGTCCTGCTCTGCCTGTCCCTCCAGCTTCCCATTGCTCTGTCTCTCCTCTAGCTGCTGGTGTATCTTGCCTCTAAAGAAGTGCTTTCCCTACAGTCATGGTGCCCAGTGCCATGGTAGATGTTAAACTTGCAAACTTCACTCCTAATGTTCTGTGCTTAGCCTTATAGTCCACTTTAGTTCCAAACGGGACCTCAATTATTCACAGAGCTTATTCTCTTATTATCTTTTCTGTTGAAATTATTTCTACTACGAGTGAACCTATAATTCACATCTGCTAAGTCATCATACAAGTTATAAAAACTTCAGTAACATACCAGAGCTTCTGTTCCATTATATGGTGTCAAAGTGAATGCATTTGCAAAAAAGCGAAGCTGCAGAAAAGAAAACAACAGTTATTTTTTGGTGGTTTAGAATAGAGTCATGAAAGAATTATTCATTTAAATATTTTTAAAAACCCTGCCTTTCTGATTATAGAACACTTTTTAAGTAACAAAAAATAAAGAAGTCAAAAAAGAAACATCATTTAATCTCCATTATTCCAAATCAACTACTTTTAACATGAAGGCCTATTTACTTCTGATCTTTACTTTATGCCTGCCCTAAGGAAGAGACACTTCTTCCTGAGCCCTAAAGAGAGAATCATTCCTAAAAGTAGCATTTTTCAAGATGTGCCACAGAAACAATGGTCCTGCAAGACGTTCAAATCACAAAACAAAAATATGGTTGTATAGTTACATAGTACACAATTATCCCCTTCTTGGGAACTTTTGATGCACAGGATCAGTTTGAAAACTTAGAGAAGTCCAGTTTAACAATGTTCAACATGGGTTTTCTAAAATTATATGATTACAGAACTCTTGGGATCTGTGGTGCATGAGCAATGAAACATTCCTTTAAAGAGAAGTGGACACTCAAATGGTGGTGTGGCAGTAACACTTAGAAATATTAAGCAGAGGTTTCACATTAAGTTCAAAAACCTCAAGTTAAATGGCATTCAGGTTCAATTCCTTAAATCATTTCCCAACCTTTAAACATATCTTCTAGGTCCCAAAAAGAGATTTTTATGAGTTAAGAAAAGAAGTATTCATCACTTGCTAGCAATATTGCCGGCATCAACAGTGTCCATATAAACGGAGGCAGAATTCCATATGTCAAATTGGTCAATGCTGTACCTGGACAGGCCACATTGGAATAGAGACCCTAGGAACAGAGAGGTGTAGCAATGAGACTTTAACTCAGTGTATATTGACTCAGTCCAGCTACATGCTAGTTAATAAAAGAGGTATGTACATGAGCCAGAAGTCAGGTAATAAAGAATTTATGTTCTGAGTTGTCTCTGAAGTTGGGTAAAACGTTTATGTTGAAGAATCATGTATTAAGAGAACCCACTGTGAGAGGCACCCAGGATGCAAAAATTAGTGGGACAAAGTCTCTATTCTCATGAACCTTGCAGTATAAAAAATAACCAATCTTAAAGCTGGGGGAGAAAAGCAGGGCCTGGTTATCTGAGTTTTCCCTATTATTGGCTTAACTGAAGATCAGCTTTTTAATCATAATGAGCATTTAAGATTAAAAGATGTACGGAGTACAGTCCTTGCCTTCGAGAAGTTTCTGGCCTAATAAATAGACAGCTAAACCTAAAGTATGTGTCTGTTTCCCTGCAAGTACATAAGACCCATACCTCTAGCTTGAGGTGGGTGCTCCCGGCATTAGGCTGTATGTGCTATCACAAAACTTTCTCCAACTGAAGATCTCTAAATCAGGTCCTTAGCCTAGAACTCATTTTAGAAAGTTCCACCCTACAAAGAGAGCCCCAATTAACACAGAGCTTAGGTTAATCCAAAGGGTCCTATGTGATCTATAGTTAAGTCCTGGAGCCCTGGGATCATGCCTCTTATTGGGATTTGTTTTACTATTTTATTTAGTTTAATTTATACTATACATTTTACTTTATTTTGATATTGACTATTTTAACTCATTTTTATCATTTTTAAACTCATTTTTTCTTTTAAATAAAAAAATAGGAAGTGCCAGTTTAACAGACAGTTCAACGGACAGACAGCACCCTAAGCAACAGAACCTGGAGGCTTTTCATCCTTTATTTGGTACTGCAGAGGCTTGGCACTGCCTGACATGGATCAACCATCCCTGAGAATCCCCTTGATTTACCAACAATCCTCTAGAAAAAAGTCAAGAGCTAAGACTTATCCTCATGATAGTCCAAAAGTTTTTCCTAAGCAAATAATGTACTCTGCCGCTAAAACAGCTAAGGAAAAGTTCTTATTCTAGGCGCTTCCTAGGATCACTTGGGGACTATTCTGTCCTAAACAAAGAAATCTTCAAACTAAAATCCAGCGTTTCCAACGTATATAATTCTCTGATGTTGAGAGATAAACAAAAAAGAAAGAAGAAGACAATCTTAACCAAGACTGTATCCTTCCATTTGTTTAATTATAGGGATTAATTGTGATGATCCTGAATATTTCTATACAGCTTGAGTGGGGGAGCATGCATGGATAATTAAAGTCTATCAGGCAGTCTATATAGAACCTGACAACATTTCCAGTAACACAGGGCTTCAAAAGGAATCCTGTAATGTTATTCTTTCTCAGCTGCTTCTTTCCTCATAAAGGCCAAGAAGAAAAAGTCATTGGCTGAGAACCAATCTCAACAGATTTTACAAGCAATAGCTAAATCTCCCTCCTTCGTAAAAGATAAAATCCCAAAGCTTACTTGATAATTGAGACTTAAATAGAATCCCAGACCTTTTTATGAAAGGAAAAGCTAATCCCTCTAAAAGGGAGTTCTCAGAGTATCAGGAAGCAGTTGTGACAAGTTTTTAAACATCTCAAGAAACTTCAGAAGGAGGTGCACAATTGGGCCAACATGCTGAGTCCAACCTGCAATATTAACAGCCAATACAAGAACATGTACATGCATGTGCAGACCACATGCACTGACACCTACACACATGCACACACCCAAAAAATACATTCACAAACACATGTGCACACACCCACAAAACCTGTACATGTACATATGAACCCGCTACACATGGGTAGGCACACAAATACATACCCACACTCATGTATATCCACATGTACATATTTGTACAGACACATGTACATACAAACTCACATTCTGAATACAAAACACTGCTGTGAGTGCTTCATACAGATCCCCCTCAGTCAATCTTCCCAATAAATCTGTGAGGCAGGCACTATTACTATCCCTATTTTTCAGATGAGGAAACTGAGGCATAGGGAGATTAAATAATATGCCTAGGGTTACAAAGAGTCAGGATTCAAATTCAGTTCTAGAAAGTATGCTCTTAGCTTCAACTTTATAAGAGGCATGATTCAGGCTGGGTGCAAGCACTGTAATCCCAGCATTTTGGGAGGCTGAGGCAGGCAGATACCTGAGGTCAGGAGTTCGAGACCAGCTTGGCCAACATAGTAAAACCCTGTCTCTACTAAAAACACAAAAATTGGGTGTGGTGGCACATCCCTGTAATCCCAGCTACTCGAGAAGCTGAGGCACAAGAATCACTTGAATTAAGAAGATAGAGGTTGCAGCGAGCCAAGATTGTGCCACTGCACTCCAGCCTGGGCAACAGAATGAGACTCTGTCTCAAAAAAAAAAAGGGGGGCATCATTCTAAGAGCCAGAACACAGAATAACACCTGATAAAGGTAGCAATTCCAGAATAAGCCAGGTCTAGACCATCACGTAAGAGTTATATTTCTATGTCTAATTCATGATCCAAGAAGCTCCGTTGAAGTAAAACATAATTCTTGATCATCTTCTTATTTCACTTTCCTCCTCAACCCTAAACCTGGCCCAGTGCCCTAAACATGATAGGTCTTTTGTAAATGTTAGTGAAATTAAACTTCTCCATAGCCCCATACTCATACAACGCTGTTAATCAAAGCAAACAAAAGAAAATGTCCAAGGGGAAGACTGGAGATTTTCAGGTCAGAATTTAGACCTGGGCAACAGAGACATACAAAGAAGCAGTAAGCTGCAAACCATAGTGGCAACAAGGACTCAGTATGACCAACAAGGGTCGCCATCCCCTGAAAAACATCCCATAAACTGAGATCCTCATAGAGACAGAGCTCTGGAGTCTTAGCTAAAACCACCACTATCTAGAAGGTTTTATAACTACTTGACTGTCCTATAAACGTCTGCTATGACAAACACTAGGAGGCAGCATGGTACAGTGGGAAAAGTCCAAGCTATAAAGTCAGCCTCGGGCTCAATTCTGAGCTCTACCATTTACAAGTTGTGTGACCATCAGGTAAATGACTTAAGTTCTCCGAGATTTAGTGTCCTCATCTGAAAATGGTAATACTTAGACCCACCTCCATGTAATGAGGCAGGTATTTAATGACATACACAGACGAATACAGCACCTGAAACACAGCAAGTACCAAAACAGTAGCTATTATCACTTTTAGTAGTGTCACTCTGTTAACATAAGTTAGAATTCCTGAAGAACCACAGAATGATGAATGAACTACCTATAACTATAATGTCAGGAGCCAATTATCTCTGCCCTAACACTTTCATATACACCAAATATCAATCTAAACTACAAGAGTTAGTGGAAAGCCAGCTACCTTATTAGGAAATCAACAGCAGGTAATTAAGAGAACCCTCCTCTGCCATTTCCGTCACTGAGACAGGCCTTACCTGCTGGTTGAAAGTTCCTGTTCAAAGCCACACTCAAAAGGTCAGTGGCATATTTGGAAGAGCTGTAGGGTTCCTTGCCTTTGCTGTGCTGGAAGTCCTCGAGGCTGAAATTAGATTTCCTTGCATTGCGAGATGATGTCCAGATGAGCTGAGATGGATTGTCACTGTGACAGAGGAGAGGCTCCAGTTCCCGAATCTGGGTGAAAGAAAAAAAAAAGTATTAAAATATACTGACAGAATACAGATAAAAATTTTGAAACCACTGTACTGTATGGTAAGAGATTAGGGTCAGAGACATCAGTATTAACTAGTTATCTAAAAGAGACATGAATTAGTTACACAGAAAAATATTTATAGATATGTATACATACATGAGTTAGTATGTACATATATATCTCTTAGTCTATCAGCAGAGAGGGTTTAGAAGACACTGATATCTCAGTAGCAATAAGCACCCAGATCTTGGTTTCTAATAACCATTCTCTGATAAAAGAAAACATATGTCTTTAGAAAAGTAGCTGATTCTAGGACTGAACAAGGAAAACACAAGATGAGTCTGACGCATCTTGTAGTGCCAGATAGTAAGAAACTGCTCAAAATGAAAGCTAAAACAAAAAGAGAAAACCATAACAATGGGGGTGTGCCAAAGAGATACAGGAGCCAACTGAAAGTGTTCCCAGTGGCCAAAACTGAAAAAATTTGAGCAGGAAAATAAAATAGTATTTATAATTTCAAAGCAGCAAATACATAAACATGAGTCCATATGGATACAATAAATGATTGAATAAAGACATAAATAAAGGAGAACTGACAATCTCCCTTGTGGAAAAAATCCAAATAATTTCTGTAGATAACCCACTCTCTTAAGAAGGTAGAGCACTAGCCAGTATGCATTGGCTGCACATAGTAACTTTCTTTCTTTTTCTCTTTTTTTTTTTTTGAGATGGAGTTTCACTCTTGTTGCCCAGGCTGGAGTGCAATGGCATGACCTCAGCTCACCGCAACCTCTGCCTCCCGGGTTCAAGCGATTCTTCTGCCTCAGCCTCCCAAGCAGCTGGGATTACAGGCATGCGTCACCACACCCGGCTAATTTTGTTTTTTGATAGAGATGGGGTTTCTCCATGTTGGTCAGGCTGATCTCAAACTCCCAACCTCAGGTAATCCGCCTGCCTTGGCCTCCCAAAGTGCTAGGATTACAGGCAGGAGCCACCGTGCCCGGCCCAACTTTCTTTCAAAAAGTAGAGTATGAAAAGGGAGAAAGAAAAAGTAACTTAACAATGGAGAAACCTGACAGACATGACCTCAAGCCAGGTGATCAAGGTTAATATCAACACTGAGAAGTCATACTGAAAGAATACACCCTTGATGTGATGTCATGAGAATGTCACTTTACCTCTGTGGCCTTCCTCCCAAAAACCACATTCTTCAGTCTCACCATGAGAAAAACATCAGACAAATCCCGATTGAGAGAGTCTACAAAACACCTAAGCAGTACTCCTCAAAACTGTCAAGGTCATCAAAAACAAGGAAAGTCTGAGAAGCTGTCACAACCAAGAAGAGCCTAAGGAGACATGACTGCTAAATGTAATGTAGTATCTTGAATGGGATCCTAGAACTGAAAAAAGACATTAGGCAAAAACAGAACCTGAATAAAGTGTGTACTTTAGTTAATAATAATGTAGCAGAATTGATTCATCTATTTCGACAAATGCATCATACCAATGCGAAATGTTAATAATAGGGGAAACTGGGTGTAGGGCATACAGAAAGTCTCTGTACTATCTTTGCAGTAATTCTGTAAATCAAAAACTATTAGTACATTTATTAAAGAAAAATCTACTAGGAAAGCTTCCAGAAGTATTCCATGCTCACAATAAACAAGGCAAATGCAATCAAGAAAACTCAAACATGAGATTAAATCAGTTAACTGGCTGCTCAACTATAATAATGCCCTGTGCCCAGAGCTTTACAGGAACTATCACACCAAATATTAGCTTATTAAGCCCACAGCTTCTTTACCAGGATAAAATGGCCAAAGACATCGGTCTCAAACACCTCCTGAAGTCCATCAGCAGTGATCTTATCACCCTGGGTCAGCAGGCCTTCAGCTGTGGAGAACATATGAATCACTTTTCTGAAACAGCAGAAGATAATTGCATGACTTTTTAAAGCTTCTTTAACTGGAAATACTGAAAACACTTTCCAACCCATCCCCCCGACTCATAAACTACACCTCCCTTGATTCTGTAATGACAGGAATAAAAATACCTATTTCTCAGACTGGGTTATTGTATTAAATGAAATGCCAAAGACCCTCCTTCCCCCCACTAATTCACAGAAATACTTACATACTTATAGCTCACGCTACCAATAGGAACTTGAGTCTCTCAAAAACCTGCTGCTAAAATTCTCTTCACCTCTTTCCCAATCAGGTTACAGGTAAACTGTTCTAAAGGA